>NC_000012.12:40035885-40187400 GCF_000001405.40 Homo sapiens
GAATATGGCATTTTGCACAAATATTAAGTAGTTTTAAACTGCATGGTAAAATACGTTAAGACCTGCACAAAATTCACAGTACTGTTGCTGAAAATAATGTACACACTTCTTAAATATACACATATCCTTTTTTCCCCCCAAACTCTGAGAATCATCCATGAAAAGCTCTGAGCTAGGGATTATAGAGAAACAGTAATGATCAACAGACATCCCCTGCTTCAAGTAACCTATACTCCAGTAATCATCAAACAAAATAGGATTCTTTAACTGCCATGATGGGGGTTTAGGCCCAGTGTAGGAGGAGTTAAGGAGAGCAGTTATTCCAACAGAAGCTATTAGAAAAAAATTCTGGCAGAAACATTTATGTTATTCATTGGTCAATGCAGAACAGGAATATAACAGAGAAATCCACCATAAGGCTGAAATTAATTTATTTTTAGGTAAAATTTATATACAAGAAAATGCAGAGATCCAAGGTGTAACCATTCTGAATTTTAAGAAAATATGCACACCCTTGTAAACACTATCTCAATCAAGAAAGAGAACATTTCCATAATTCCAGGAAGTTCTGTCGTACCCCTTTTCCAGTCAATCCCCATTGCCGTAGACAACCACTGATCAAATTTCTGACCCCATTGCACATTGATGAACTTCATATGGAATCATGGGGAATGTACTGTTTTGTGTCTAGCTTCTTTTAATCAGCACAATATTTAAAAAATTCATTCATATGGTTGTTCCTTCTATGTCACTGATTCATTTATCTACTGTTACCAGACTGTCCTGATTACTTTAGTGTTATAATAAGTCTTGAAATTAGACAGTGAATCCTCCAACTTTGTTCTTTGAGATAGTTTAGCAATTCTAGGTCCTCTGATTTTCCATAAAAAATTTAGAATCAACTTTTCTGGTTGAATGAATGTAAGTGATGATAGTGGATATCTTTGCCTAGCAAACAGTCATAAGGGAAAGCATCATTTTTTCACCACTGAGAATAAAGCTGGCTGCAATTTTTTTGTGTGGATGTCATCTTCTACTCTGGTTTCCTGAAAGGTTTTATCATAAATGAATGTTATTCTCTCAAATATTTTCTCTGCATATACTGAGATGATCATACAGATTTGCCTCCATTGAATAATTTCAATATGGTGACTTGCATGGATTATTTTTCCATATGCTAAACCAACCAACCTTCCTGGGTCATGATTTATTCCCCTTTTACATACTGCTTGGTTCAGTTTTATTAATTTTTTGTTAAGGATACCTTTTGGTCTGAGTTCATGAAATTGGACTCAAATTTACTTTTCTTGTAACAACTCAGGCCCTAGTAATAGAATTATGCTGGCTTCAAAAACCTTATTGGGAAGTGTTTATTCTACCTTTATTTTCTTAAAGTTTTTGTTTAAGATTGAAGCTATTTCTTCCTTAAATATTTTATAGAATTCACCAGGGGCTGGGTGCAGTGGCCCACACCTCTAATCTCAGCAATTTGGTAGGCTGCAGTGGGTGGATTGCTTAAGCTCAGGATTTCAAAACCAGCCCAGGAAACAAGGTAAAACCTCATCTCTACAAAAAATACAAAAATTTGCCGGGTGTGGTTGCATGTGCCTGTGGTCCCACCTACTCAGGAGGTTGAGCTGGGAGGATCCCTTGAGCCTAGGCGGTCAATGCTGTAAGTGAGCTATGATCCTGCCACTGCATTCCAGCCACCTGAGTGCCAGAGTGAGACCTGGCACTCAGGTCTCAAAAAAAAAAAAAAAAAAAATTCTATATGGGCCTGGAATTTGCTTTGCAGGTAACTTATTAATAATGATGTAGCTTCTTTAATAAATAAAAGGATACTCAAATTTTCCATTTCATGTCCATTTTTGGTAAGTTGTGATTGTCAAGCAAATGACCATCCCATCTAAGTTGGTAAATTTATTGGCACCAAGTTGTTCACAGTTGTTCAAATTTTTCCTTCATTATCCTCATAATGTCCATAGAATGACATGCCCTCTTTTATTCCTGATATTGATAATTTGTACTTTATCTTTTTATTCTTAATCAGTTTAATCAGTCGTAGCCAGTGTATCAATTTGATTAATCTTTTCAAAGAACCAACTGTTAACATTGACCTCTGCTCTTTAATATTTCATTATTTGTTTTGTTTGGGTTTAATTTGCTCCTATTATTCTAGCTTCTTAACATGAAACTTAGATCACTGACTTTAAACCTTTCCTCTTCTCTACTGCAATCACTTTTAAGCCACATATTTTCATCTAAGCACTGCTGTAGCTGCATTTCACAAATTTTAATATATTGTATTTTCTTTCCATTCAAAGCTATTTTCCAATTTTCCTTCTGATTTCTCCTTAGACCCATGAATTATTTAGAACCTGCTACTTTAATTTACAAAGATTTGCAGCTTTTTCTGGCTATCTTATTGTTATTGGTTTCTAATTTAATTCTGCTGTGGTCAGGGGGCATATATTTCATTTATTTATTTAATAAATTACTAACATTTATTTTATACCCCAGGATATGATGAATTCTGGAGACTGTCTAATGTAAATGTGAAAAATAATTCATAAGGCCAGGCATGGTGGCCCACGCCTATAATGCCAGCCCAAAGTGGGTGGATCACTTGAGCCCAGGAGTTTAAGACAAGCCTGGGCAACATGGTAAAACCCTGTCTCTACAAAAAAAATACAAAAATTAATGGGCATGGTGGCATGTACTTCTAGTCCTAGCTACTCAGGAGGCTGAGGCGGGAGGGTCACTTGAGCCCAGGAGGTCGAGGCTGCAGTGAGCCATGTTCATGCCACTGCACACCAGCCTGGGTGACAGAGCAAGACCCTGTCTCAAAAAAAAAAAAAAGAAAGAAAAGAAAAAGGGAAAGGGAAGGGGAAAGGGAAAGGGAAAAGGAAAGGAAAAGGGAAAGTAAAATAATATGTATAGTGCAATTGTTGGATGTAGCAGTCTACAAATGTCAGTTTTGACAAGGTATTTAATAGTATTGTACTGCTTTTTTATAATCTTTTATCTAGTTGTTCTATCGTTGTTAAAAAAAAGAGTTAAAAATTCTGCAAATATAAGCTCAATTTGCCCATTTTTTTATTGTGGTAAAATATAAATAAAATTACCATTTTGTCCACTTTTAAGTATACAGCTCTACAGAATTAAGTGCATTCACACTGCTGGCTAACTGCCAGCTGATAATTTTTGCTTCATGTATTTTGAAGCTATCTTATTAGATAAACTACACATTTTGTATCATTATTATTTCGGATGACTTGGCTCTTTTGTCATTAGAAAATGTCCTTCTTTATCTCTGCTAATACTGTCTCTCTAGAAGTCTACTTTGTGTGACTATTAATATAGCCACACCAGCCTTCCTATACTCACTTTTGTATATTACATCTTTTCCCAACCTTTCACTTTGAATCTAATAGCATTAAAGTGTGTCTCTTTAGACAATGTAGATCTGTGCCACATTTTTAGTACACAATAATTTTTTACATTTAATGCGATTATTACCATAAATGGGTTTTAGGTATACCATTTTGCTATTTGCTATTTGTGCCATCTCTTATTCATTCCTGTGTTCTTAATTTATTGCATTTATTCAGCTTATCCAAATATTTTAAGTATTACGTTTTAATGCTCATAATGGCTTCTTATGTGTTTCTTTTTGTAATATATTCTAGTCATTGTTCTACAGATAAAAACATGCATCTTTCACTTATCAGTCTACCTAGAGATACTGCTTCACAAATATATAATTCCATTTACTGCCTCCAACTCTTTTGCTATTATCAAAAAATTGAGAGGAAGGTACAGAGATCTCCCACACACTTCCTGCCCACGTATGCATAGCCTCCCCAATTATCAACATCTTCCACCAAAGTGGGACATTTGTTGCAAGTGATGAGCCCACATTAGCACATCATTATCACCTACAGTCCAAAGTTTACATTAGGTTTCACTCTTGGTGCTATATAGTTCATGGGTTTGGACAAATGTATAATGGCATGTATCTGCCATTAAAGTATAATAAAGAGTATTTTCACTATCCTAAATATCTTCCATGCTCCATACATTCACACATTCTGTCCATGTTTTATAATGGTCATCTTCAGGGGAATTAGACTTATACAAACTGCTCTGTCATTACCAAACCATGTTTACATTTTCCTGGAAAAAAATCAGATAACTGAAGGTGAGAGCAATTTTTATTGCCAGCTTAAATGCCGAATATAGAGACTTAACCTAAAACATTCTGAAGATAACAGCAAACAATACCTAATAGCACTGAAGAGTTTGTAAGTATGTTCACTGCTACTAGCTCATTTGATCCCGTAAATAACATTGTATGACTGCTGGAACACTGGCTAGGTGAGACTATTAGAGCTTAGATAAATTAATTCATACGCTGTGAAAGCAAATCTTAAACATATTCTTCCCACCACACTGTAATATCTTCATGATAAACAGTCGTATTTATATCTTCAGCACTAAGGTATTTACTTTTTGGGGTTGTTTTGAAAAAGGGTCTCACTCTGTCACCCAGGTTGGAGTGCAGTGGCGTGATCTTGGCTCACTGCAACCTCTGCCTTCTGGGTTCAAGATTCTCCCACCTCAGCCTCCTGAGTAGCTGAGATTACAGGCATGTGCCACTATATCCAGCTAATTTTTCTATTTTTTGGTAGAGATGGGGTTTCACCATGTTGGGCAGGGTGGTCTCGAACTCCTGACCTCAGGTGATCCACCAGCTTTGGCCTCCCAAAGTGCTGGGATTACAGGCATAAGCCATGGCACCTGGCAGGTATTTACTTGTAATGAGACTGTTTGCCACCAATTAATACATGTGTTATCTAAATCTATCATTCTTAAAATGACCACTGCATACTTCTATTTTTAAGATAGTGATTGACTCATATTCTACATTTCATATAGAGCCAAGTACCACTGATCTATTAGCACGAAATTTTAAGAACACATTCTCCAGCATAAAGTTGTTTAGAAATAACATCCCCATTTAAATATCATTCTGAGAAGCATCTTATTGACATGGATTTTAAAATTATTATTATTATTATTATTTGAGATGGAGTCTAGCTGTGTCACCCAGGCTGGAGTGCAGTGGCATGATCTTGGCTCACTGCAACCTCTGCCTCCCGGGTTCAAGCAATTCTTTGCCTCAGCCTCCCGAGTAACTGGGATTACAGGCGCCCACCACCGCGCCCGGCTAATTTTATTTTTTTAGTAGAGACGGGGTTTCGCCATCTTGGCCAGGCTGGTCTTTTTTGAGGCTTTCAATAAACAAACCCAAATCTAATGTGTTATGAAAGTGAGAGCAAAGGATTTCAAGTTCCATCCACACCCACCAAAGGCCGGCCTTCCCACTTCACCCCCAAACTCCCAGATGATCATCATAGCCCTCCTCCTAGCTGCTCTAACTTCTCACTCTTGTCCAAGCATGACTGGTTCTTTCAGATGACAGGGCCTTTGAAGATTACATTTCACCTAGAATTTCCCTCTCCCTCACTGTACCTGGAATTCTTTTATTCAAAAAGCTCAAATATCTTTCTGTTGTGAGGCTAAGTTATTCATTCATCTTGGGAGCTCCCATTACACTATATCCATCATTTATTCAACAGACTAAAAAAAGTCTCTCTCCTATATTAGGCCATTAGAGGCTTCAGGACAGGAGGAGCACTTCTTATCCATCTTTCCATCTCTAGTATTAAATACAAGACTAGTATGCAGAAAGTGTCAAGAAACTCTTTTGAATGAATGACTGAATTATTTCCACACCAACTGATGACTCCAAAAGTATAACCTCACACCTGTACCTTGGCAGCAGCCTCATAACTAGGTTTCCTAAATCTACCCAAGAGGCGAGAGCCCCAGTTAGTTCTGGGCATCACTGCCGTAGTGATCTTTGACTCCTGTCATGGCACACTCTGCTAAAAAAATAATAAATTCCCTTTGCCTGTAGACAGAAGTTGGACTTGAATTCATAGACCATTGGAATCTGGCTTCAGCCTCTCATGTACATCATCACTGTAGTCTTAATCCTCCCTGATCCTACCCCCTCCTGGTCTACACTCTGCCTCCCATATCCACCTGTGTCCACCTGAGTCCCATCAATTCTTCAAAACTCAGCATGTCTCACATTGTGCATGAGTCAGCCTCAGGATACTCAGGAAAATCTCTCCTATAGAGGTTCCCAGGACTAATATTTTGTATTTCTCATTCAATACCTATATTACATCAATTAAATGATGAAACATGAAAATGACTAGCACAACCAGACATTTAACAAATGGTTGTACATAGTTTAGTGAGGTGGAATAAGATAAGCCTGTTTTTTTTTTAAAGTAGATCTAGGAATAAGATGAGTAAAAATCAGCATGAAACAGAAAAATTTAGCCCCTCTGTATATATACCTATCCCTATTAATACAAATCACATGATGACTATATACTTGTAAACACAGAGACACTCATTTGAAAATCAGCATTACCAAAGAGAAAATAATGAAAGTTTTCAGGTTCCTAGGGAGGTATATTCTCTTGAAGGAGATAAATTTTCATAGGCTCAGAAACTAATTTTCTTTCTCTTATTTGTACCTGCAGAAACACATATAATTAATGATTTAATTTTTATCTATCTATGAAGTATATATATCCCTCTGTATAAATTAATACATTGGTATTTGGTTTATAATAAATATCTTTTTATGCTAACTAAGAGTCCCTTCCCTAGAGCCCAGTGAATTTCAGCTCAGTTCAATAAACATTTACTGAATATTTACTATGTTCTGCGCCCTTCCTAGATCTAAAAATGAGTAAAAGGTCAATGACATTCAGGAGTTCCAAAATGAATGAGAGGAGATAGAAGAGTAAGCAAGTAGTTGAATATAATATGGTGAGTATAAAAATGGAGCTTTGTAGAAACTATTATGAAAAGACAAAGGAACAGAGTTTCCATGATTCATGAGCAGAGATTTACAGGATGAACAGGAGCTGGACCAGAATCCCTGGATAGGGTAGGGAGACACTACAGGCAAAAAAGAGCATAAGAATGAAAAAAAAAAAAAAAAAACTAGAAACATGACAAAGCAAGATATGGTTGGTTTATAAGCTTGGGTTTTATACAAAGTGGAGTCGGGGGCAACACTAGTTAGAAGAATCTTGAAAAGAATGCATGGATTGGGTACTACAAGCCATGATAAAGAATTTAATTTTTTTTTCCCTGTAGGAAATAGACAGTCTTGAAACATTTTACTAGTGGCATGCCCAGATAAGTTTTCTAGACAGATCATTCTGATGGCTAAGTTCACTTACTATATATTTACTGATAAGCCAGGATTTAACTAAGCAATTTTCAAAAAAGGATATTTTTTGTTTGCTTGAAGTGTAGTGAGTAAATCTCACTATGTTCATGAAGTAAGATTTAAAAATATTAGCAAAGAAGACAGGTATGGTGACTCACACCTGTAATCCCAGCACTTTGGGAAACTGAGGCAGGTGGCTCACTTGAGGTCAGGAGTTTGAGACCAGCCTGGCCAACATGGTGAAACCTCATCTCTACTAAAAATAAAAATAAACTATATATATATATATGCTTCTCTGAGCATCAAGTTTTAAATCTGCAAAATGAGAATAACACCAATTCCACTAACCTGTCAAGATTTTGGTTAGGATCAAATGGTATTTGCTGCCAGATGCTGAAACTGTTCGTCACTATAATGCAAATATATACATATGCAAAGAAAAGGGCAAGCAGCGATAGAACTTTATCATTAATATTAACTATCGAAACATCTCTGCCATCTTTGTCAACACTACAATATATTAGGAAAAAAAAAAGTTATCCTCATGATTACTCATTAGAGAAATGCAAATCAAAACCACAGTGAGATGCCACTTCACACCCACTAGGATGACTGTAATCAAAAAAGACAAATAACAAGTGTTTACTAGGACATGGAAAAATTGAAACCCTCATACGTTGCTTGTGGGAATGCAAAATAATACAGCCACTTTGGAAGCAGTCTGGCCAGTCCTCAAAAACCTAAATACAGTTATCATATGACCTAGCAATTCCACAGATAGGTGTATATCCAAGAGAAGTAAACGCTTATGTCTATCCTAAAATTTGTACACAAATGTTCATAGCATCATTATTTATATAGCCCCAAAATGTTAACAATACCTATCAACTGATGAATAGATAAACAAAATGTGGTATATCCATATTATTATTTGCTATAAAAAGAAATGAAGTACTGACACATACTACAACTTAGATGAACCTTGAAAATTTGCTAAGTGAAAGAAGCCAGTCATAAAGAACCACATATTCATATATGAAATATACAGAATACATAAACCTATAGAAACACAAAGTAGATTAATGGTTGCCTAAATGTGGGACAGCTTGGGGGGTTAGGGGGTGATGGCTAAGGAGTGCAAGGTTTCTTTTTAGGGTGACGAAAATGTTCTAAATTTGATTGTGGCGATGGTTGCATAGCTCTGTGAATACACTAAAAGCCAAGTGATTGTACAATTTAAATGGATGAGTTGAATGGTGCATGAATTACATCTCAATAAAGTTGTTTTTATTAAAAAATCAAATCTTTAACAATATTTTCAAAATTTTATTTCCTCTTTCTTCATGAAGCCAGATGGTATCCTTCCCAGTACAGAATGTACTATGATAATGAAGTGCCAGAAAAATAGCAACATTGATTCTGCTACTGGCAGTTCTTTTTTTCTAGAGAAAGTAAACTTCCAGTTGTTCAGCAGAAAACAATTTATTTCTATGATATCTAAAAAATAAGAGAACAGAAACTTTGACCCATCTGGCATAAAAGGTGAACTATAATGTTTCTACAACATCAAAATCTAAATTGCTTTTCTGTCAATCGATTTCATCTTCCATCTGTCTTAATCCAATCACTACTGTAAAAATTATCAAAAATTATGGCTGTTAGATTATAAACGCTTGAAAGCAGAACCATGAGGAAGAAAGGAGTTAGCTTTTGAATAAGAAGATTTGAATCTAATCTCTGCCAAGGCCAAGTAATAGCCATGTGGTCTCAGGCAAATATTTAACTTCTCTAAGCATCAAGTTTTTAATCTGCAAAATGAGAATAATACCAATTCCACTAACCTGTCAAGATTTTGGTTAGGATCAAATGGTATTTGCTACCAGACGCTGAAACTGTTCATCACTATAATGCAAGACCAGTAAATCTGGGACACTGGGTATTGTAGTATAAAATTTAATATTAGAAACTTGAGGTAGAGTTTCAGAAGCAATAAAAGCCAAAAAGGGAAATAAAACAAATTTAAAATATTCAAATTATTTGAAGACTGGGGACATCTAATGTGAAGATATATAAAAATATGAGTATGGAAAAGAAATTTTACATGATATATTTAGACCCACATTTTCCTTCAGATTTTTCCTTAAGATTTTTGAAACATATTGCTATAAAAGTGATGAGTTATCTATTGTTATAATTATGAATAAGTTATCAATTGTTGACAATTACAGAGTCTAAAGTTAATGCTAAGGTAGCACTTCAATTTTTATTTGCTTATAACCACATTCCTATTAGCCCAGGAGTCAGATGAGATAAATATACTGATAAGGATACTAGATAACAGAAGACAATAACAGAGAAAATTCACCTAAAAAAAAGGAAACATGTTTGCATGTGTACATAATTAAATGTGTATTCATGCAAAGAATAAATTGGGTTCAAAACAATCTGGTTGTTAATACTTTGGTCTATATATCAACGGGAGTTAGTTTTCCCATACTCTTATTTTATTTTTTCATCCCTAGGCAATCCAGTATTGCCAGAAAAATAAACATGAGCATGCTAATTGGCTTTACTGCAAATATATGTCTCCAGCTTCAGCTGGGATTCCATGGTTACTTGGAAATCATGTGTTGTCCCTAGTCTTTTCCTTCTCATGCTTCCCACAGCAGCAATACACTTTAAATCTTTTTTTCTCTAGTCTTCTGCCCTACCATCTTGAAGCATCATTCTTGCCAATAAAGAAAACAGATAACACAGAATGTTGATTTTCCTTCAGCCTCTCTTACAACATCGATAGTAGCATCCATCTTTTACTCAATTCATCAGAACAGCAACTAACAATGTGATTCTTCATTTATTATCTGCCATGTGCCAAGTGCTACGCTAAACACTTTACATATAATAAGTAATTTGGATCCCACAATAATCTTATAAGTATTTCTGGTTCTACTTTATAGAAAAGTGAAGCTCAGAGGGGCTAAATGATTTGTTTGGGGTTCTTATCTAATCAATGGTAAAAAACAGATTTGAATCCAGGTCTGTCTATGATGTCTCCTTGCCTCTGCAAGGGGGTTTCAGGCTTGTCCCAACACCTCCGCTTTTACACGGGCACACCACATTCATAAATGTATTGTCACTACTGTGAGATCTTTCTCTTTCCTAACCAGGACTGAGAAAAGATTTCTTAATTGTTATGCGTAAGTGAAAAATGTGATTTATGCAACTATACATGCTATGCATTTGAATATATCTATATTACTTACATTAATAAAAATTTTTAACAAAATATAAATTGATGATTTAGAACTTCTTAAAGACATGTAAGTTGAAAGACTGACTTCCATTGCATTTACAAGAAAAACTCAAAATACCAGGTTATACTGAAAACAGTTATCGTCTTTCCTCTTTCTCTTCATCTACTGAGTAGAAAAAAAAAAAAGAAGAAAGAAACTTCCTGCTTCAGTTTAGCAACATCTGCAGACACAACAACCGTTTTTAAAAACTGTGTCCTCCCCTTAATGGTCCTTACAAATGTAGGCCCTCATTAGCTTCAAAGAGTTTTCTCACATGACTTTTAATTAAAACTTCACCCATTTAGGTCTTTAATGGCTCATCCTAAGCCACAAGGTTTATCGTGCTTCTTACAAGCAGTTTAATTCCCTGGGTCCACATCATATTGCACCTTTTTCTTTCTTTCTTTTTTTTTTTTTGAGATGGAGTCTCGCTCTGTTGTCCAGGCTGGAGTGCAGTGGTACACTCTCAGCTCACTGCAACCTCCGCCTTCAGGGTTCAAGCGATTCTCCTGCCTCAGCCTCCCAAGTAGGTGGAATTACAGGTGTGTGCCACCACACCTGGCTAATTTTTGTATTTTCAGTAGAGACAGGGTTTCACCATGTTGGCCAGGCTGGTCTCAAACTCCTGACCTCAAGTGATCCGCCCACCTTGGCCTCCTGAAGTGTTGGTATTACAGGCGTGAGCCACCACACCCAGTCCACACCCTTTTTTCTTCTACTGTTGAGGATTAACATCAACACTGTAAAAGCCATGCAAACAAGGGTTTGAGTTTATATTGTTGAATATTCTATTCCCCAGTATCTACAGAGAAGTAAATACTGAATAAATATTTGTTCTAATAAGTAGAGGCAAGAAAACAAGATAGGCAATATTGTATAACCTCTAATGCCTTTTAATAAAATTTCTCTGGAACAGTTACATGAGTACTATAAAGATATCAAAATCCAGAGCCCATAATATCTTTTAAGCTTTAACATAAGATTTTGTTTTAATAATAGTTTGTATTTATTTTAAAGCAGTTTTAAAACCACTTTTGTCATTTATTGATTCAAAATAAGCCAAATATCAAGGAATAATTTGTATACTTTAAACTCATGTATATCTTTTTATAGAGGTATATTTTTATCTTTAAACACTACGTTTCTTTCAGATCAAAATGTAGCTTCCAGAATGCAAAAAGGATGTTAGTTATATCTGTAGTTCATAAACAGCTTGTCAATCATTGTAGAATTCATGAACTCCATACATATTTATCACTGCATTCATTTTTAAACAAATATTGCAAAAGATTGCACACAGTGTGAGAAATGTCACCTAAATGCTAAAAAAGCCCTGTAAATATCAATTCTTAATGGTAGGTTCCTTGTCTATCATCAAAATAAATATCAGCTTCCTGTCCACTCTCAGTTTTGCTGAATGTCACCTACTTATAAATTAGCAATAATGATTCAAAACACACAGCTATATTTTGACTATGATTTCTCAATTTTTCTCCCCTTCCCCAAAATCAAGATTTGAAAAATTAAATGTAAAAAGTATTTACAAACCTCCATCCATCCTTCTGGAGATAACTGAAGGCTCCATCAACAACACTTGCAAAGAACTGCCCTCCTGTGATGAAGAGGGTATTAATGGTGACTAATCGGCCTCTTAAATTGGGTGGTGAGACCTCCGCAATGTACACTGGCACTGTCATAGAAGCAATGCCTATAAAAACAATGAAAAGTAAATGTGAGACATTTACTCAAGATTTCTGTTGCAATAAATACTAATGCTAGATTTAGGCATACACTTACATATATGGGCTTGGTTTTCTACTTTAAGCAAAGGTTTACCACATATTTAAGATTTTGTTCATAACTAATTTGGGGCTACTGCAGACAAGTAAAAATGTATGTGAGATATCATTTTTCTTATTATCACTTGAAAGCCTACAAATGAAAGCACCCCTAAAGACCTAAGATAATTTCAGAGTGCATATAAGTATGCTTTATAACTTCTTGAGGACTAAAAATAGCAAAAAAAGTTCTCTAGATAGAATGATTACTGAAATATTTTTAGTCTATATGGAAATGTAATCAGACAATAGTGAGAATAAAAAATTATCTTAGGATACATATTAACTATTCAAAGACATAGTTAGATGCCAGTAGATTTACTAAACTTTTAATTGGTTTACTAATAAGAAATTCATATAATAAATCACCTTATTCAATTGGCTAGGTATACATTTCAGAATAAAAGAGTTTTACAGCTAAGGTGTATTTGATTATATTAGCTTTAAATTTTTTTCTATCTGAAATTAATGCAGTATTCTCTATGGCAGTAGTTCTAACTTCACTGATAACCAGAATTACTCATGTGACTTTTTTCTTTAAATAAAATTGCTCTTACCTCACCCACCTCAGACCTACTAAATAGAAAACTACAGAGGTGGGGGATGAGATTGTCCTTTTAAAATTCTCCAGAGTGATCTTGACACTTACTGTGTATTTAAAAACCTAAAGTTGTATAGTACAGAACTTTAAGCCAATCCAAATGATTTCTTAAAGTCTCACCCTCTTGTGGCCCCTGCAATTTCCATGTATGTCTGATTATTTAGCCTATTTTAGTATTTAGTATTATTTAGCCTGTTATAGTATTCAGCCTTACCCAAAGGTTGGACAGATACTGATTTGCTGTATCTAATCAATACTTACCAAAGCCTCCATAAAAAAAAAAAGATTGCCTAAAAAATTTAATGTTTATATCTCTAGATACTATAAATCAATCCTTAGATTAAGCCAGAACATCAATAAAATGAATAAAACAGATCTATATAGAATTGCTTTTAACTAATTGCTTTTTAACGAATTTATGATGGCAAAAAAACAGCTTGTGTTGAAGGAATCAGTACTAAGAAACCTGTTGCTGTGTTTTCTGTACAAGTGCTGTTGAAGGTGCTATTTATTACATTCCATACAGCAAGTGACATTTCTCTATGGTCTCAGTAACTGCAATAGTTGTGGTTTTCTACAGGTGATTTTTGTTAGTTGATGGCTATTATAAATTGCAGCTTTTTTTCATTTCCCTTTTTATGTACACAGTCAGAAAGGCCCACCTCCATCCAATGTTTTGGACTTCAAGGTATTATTTTGTGACCCAAACTCTCTCCTAATGCCATAACAGTTGTAATTTATCCTATTATAAGTGTATTTTTCCTCTATTTTTATTTGCTTTGTTACATCTTTGAACAAGGCAAATAAATACATAGATGAACAGATAGGCAAGATTTATTTAAGTAATACATATTTATTTGGGAAAATTCACTGTATTATTGCATAACTACTGATAAGTAGTTATTAAATTTGCACACAAGTCAAACCATTAAGTCTCAGAACTAGATACTAATTTCCACCAATGTTGTTTGCTACTGTAGTGCCTGTCAATAATCTTACGACTTTGAGTTTCATAGAATAATAAGCATGTGCTAATAGACACAGTATTAACAGTCTTCACAATTAAATCATCACCTAAGCAGCTGAAGTTTCCATTTGACTGCTAATCAATTTAATAACACAGACCACCCTGAAATGCCCTCATCTAACTTGGAAAGAGGAAACAAACATCTGCTGCAAATGTTGACACGGGATTTGTATATTCTCTTTAGTTCTTTTACTATTAGAACATCTCAAACTTTCATAATTCAAACAATAATTTACAACTTGGATTTCTTTTTCTGCTATGGTCTGACTATAAACAGGAATTTGGTTGTTCTCTTTAGACAGAGATCTTTATTTAGCCATGTAGCCCCAGATTTGAGCATGGGAAATCAGGACTGTGGTTTTAGGCAACACATGCTCATAAAAAACACATAGATTTTACTTGACAGAAATGCAGGTATGTCCTCAGACCCTGATAAAGTTCGATTATTTAAAACAAACACCAGAGCTTTGAAAGTAATACGTACTGACAAAGGGTAAAGATTGAAGACAGACTCATTGGATTTGGAGTTGGAAAGAACCATGAAAGACCTTCTGTCCAATGAGTGCTCTGGCTGACTTAACACTGCAACAACTACCTACATTCAGCAGATATTTTATAGGGACTAATAATCTTATTTAATCCTCAGGATATCCCTTTAAAGGGCATGTAATTATCTCCATTTTTCATACCTCAGGTCACATGATGAGTAGGTAGAAGAATCAGAATTTAAAGCAGACAGCAAGATTCTAAAACCCAATTTTGATGGCACAAACTATATTGACGGATCATCATAAGTAAGGGAAGGCTCTGGAACCAGTGGGTTTCAATTCCAGCCTTGCCACTTATCAGCTGGTTAAGTTTGGACAACTTACTTGACTTTTCTGGGTCTAAAGTTCCTCATCTATAAAATAGGAAGAATAAAAGTAACTACTTCATAGGAGTTGAGAGGATTCAATGAGTTAAGTAAAGCACTTAAAATTGTGCCTGGCTTACAGAAGGTAGTCAATAAGATCAGCAATTATTTTTATTCTTATTATCATCTCTAGTTATGAGGCATCCCAATTCTTTCTATAGTAGGTGACAGGATTATAAGGATGAGTACAAACAAATAAAATAGGGTCCCTGCTATGAAGGAAAGTACACACAAGACCTACTCACAAAAGCATACAATCAAGTAAATAACTTCAAAATAACATGGTAAGGGTCATAATAAAGCTATACACTGGATTCTACTGTGGCAAGCTGACAATGACCAGGTGGTAGTTGGAAAGGTTGGGCAGACAATTCTGCACAGAACATGAGCTTAAATCTTTATATGAAATGACACGGGGTTTTCTGAGAGATAAATAGAAAATGTGAGGCGGAATATGTGTGCAGATAAGATGGGAGAGACAGAGGGCGCCTAAGTCATGGAAGCAGCATCCATTAATCAGTGAGTATTCATCAGACACTGGATCTGAGCTGGGCACTGTGTTTAGCACTTTGGAGATAGTGCTGTAGGAGAGAGACATGAGCTCTGTTCTCGTGGAGCTTAGGGTCTGCTAGTCGAGTGGGATGGGTATTGCCAAAGGGGAAGTGTGAGGAACATCAGACTATAGCAAAGGGACCGGCCCAGCCTGAAGAGTCAGAGGGGCCTTGGATAGAAGTCATATTTAAGCTGAGATGTAGTGAATAAGTAAGTGAGAGTAGGTTGGAGATAGGGGAGAGTTGGGAGGTACTGCAGACAATCAGATCAGCTTAGGTAAGGGCCTTCAGGCAGGACGAAAAGCATCCTGCTGAGGAAGGGGTGGCGGACTACTTTTAGAGAAATGGGCAAGGATCAACCACAGTGTAAAGGATCTTAAAGGCCAAATTAAGGGCTTAGTGCGCAGAAGCCTCTGAATAGGGTAGAAGAGGAAGATGCATGATCAGGTTCAATGATCAGGATCAACTAGATCATTCTAGTTGGAGTACGGAAAATTGATTGCAGGGAAGCAACACGTACAGTGGCAGCAATGGTGATGGACTGAAATGAAGAGATTTGAGAATTATGTCTTTGGTATCTAGGTTAAAGAGAATATGAATAGGATGTGAAGGATAAAGAGAGAAGGAAGCTGAGGATGATGTTTTGATGTCAGGAAAAAGCAACTAGGAGCATGATGGGCACTTTGTACAAAGATAGGGAGGGAAAAAATGAAGTTTGAGTACAAGATAATAAGGTCAGGTCATAGATGGAATTGAGTCAGAGGCACTTTGTGAAATATAGAAGTAGATAGTAAGTGGCCTGCTTGATGGTGTGCTGGGAATACAGATTATTTACATGTGAGTGGTCCCACCCCCTCCCTGTTTCCCCTACCCAATAAGGTCTTCGCCAGAATAACCTGTCTCCTCCTTTATCCTCAAGGGAGAATTTGGTCTTTGTCAGTCTAGTTCTTGAGCTTTTATCATGCTAAGCAAAAAAAGGGTGGAGAAAAGAAAACATGGGCAAATCATGAGGTATATTGGGAGAAGTTAAGACCAAAAAAGACAAAAAACAGTTGTGAGTGAGAGTCTCGGGGTGAGTCTGGGGAAAATGGGAGCCTGTAACAAAGGGAGTAACCCTTGAGCAGGGAAGTGAGGAGATGACAGCGATTTTAAGAAATAATGCTGATTTGTAAGCTACATGCTATTATATTCTTCAAGAGAAATAAGTTAAGAGCAGTTCTGCCTTACTATTGCTTTTAGTTGCTGGACTATATTTCTTCAAATGCAACATCAAACTGACATTCGGCCAGGTAGGGCTTGGGAGTTACACAACTAGGTGGAGCTCAAAGGATGGTACTATGGGGACAATGCGCATAACTGAAACTACGGAAATGGATAAGATCACTCAATGGCATACGAGAAGAATGCTTAGAATAGAATCCTGAAACAGTCCAACAATTAAGGGACTAGGAGGGGGAACTGAGAAGGTTCATGACGAGCAAATATCTACCTTACCTTTCAATACTATGTTATTTTTAAAGGCTTTCTATGTTATCATTTTGTCTTATCATGTAAAATCATCCTATCAGGCTGGGCGCAGTTTGTTCATGCCTATAATCCCAGCACTTTGGGAGGCAGAGGCAGGTGGATCATGAGGTCAGGAGATTGAGACCATCCTGGCCAACATAGTGAAACCCTGTCTCTACTAAAATACAAAAAAATTAGCCAGGCATGGTGGCACATGCCTGTAATCCCAGCCACTCTGGAGGCTGAGGCAGGGGAATTGCTTGAACCCGGGAGGCGGAGGTTGCAGTGAGCCAAGATGGTACCACTGCACTATAGCCTGGCGACAGAGCAAAGACTCCATCTCAAAAAAAAAAAAAAAAAAAAAAATCCTATAAACAGGCTGGTGGAACTGATATAATTTATTATCCCCCTATGAAAGGTAATGATGCCCAGCCCCAGAGACAGATATAAAGAGATTTTCAGAAAGCCACATGGCAAGTTAATGTCAAAATGGGTCTCACAGATCTAGGTCCTCTAACCTTTGTAATGTGCCATTCAAGGGCTGGGTGTCATGCCTATGTGATCCTTTGGAAATGTCTTAGAAACATTTTATTTTTGACCTTCTTACTTTGACTAGCATACATAAACTTCTAGGGGCAAAAGAGTCTTCTCTCTTCCCTGCCACTATTGCCTGCTAAGTGACTTACTGCCACCAGACATCATGTTAAAGAGCTTGGAACAATTAGTAAGAAAAATGACAACTGAGTATGATTAATTGTATAATTTGGGACTAGGCAAGTTTAAACCTTAAAACCGCTTTATGAAACTGGGAAAGTAGGAGGATCCGTGCTCAGTCTACTCACATCTGCCCAATACGCACATGTTAGGCACAGGGCCTGTTAACAACTCACCTTGCTGTTAATAAAAGCAACCCATGCAAACTATAATTTATGGATTTCTAAACATGGAGCTCACTTGTGGAAAACCTTGAACATGAAGGCTTTGTCACCCCAAAATCTACTTTCCACTTTGGGAAAACAAATGGAATTTTGTCCCTCAACAAAGCTCATTATTCTACTTAAGAAGGGATGGTTAAGTAAAACTACTGCTTAACTTTAGAGTCTGTTTCAAATCAC
The DNA here is from genome assembly GCF_000001405.40 of Homo sapiens. NCBI lineage: Eukaryota > Metazoa > Chordata > Mammalia > Primates > Hominidae > Homo > Homo sapiens. The sequence continues at coordinate 40,054,054 of NC_000012.12, forward strand.
TATTATGTATTTGTGTAATTCAGCCCTTGATTTATATAAGCCACAGAAATATTCAAATAAATGAGCAAAAATTTCTCCTGTTATTTACCTAAAACCTGTTTTAAAGAAAGAAAATATATCAAGGCTCACATTTTTGCTCTGGTACTATAACTCAAAGATGATGATTTGAGATCTTCAAAATGAAGAGTTAGGTGCTTTAAAAATGAATGTAATGAATAATATTTAAATATGATTTAAATATTTAAAGTTCAGGAGAGTTCTATGAAGAGCTTTTGATTTCTTTCCTATTCTAATCACTAACCAAATAAAATAAAAGCCTGATAAAGAAAAAACAAGTTATTAATAGTCCATACTAAACTCACACATTGAAATTAACACAAGGAATATAATGGTATAAATTCCTATTAACAGCTTATTAGAGTAAACATAACCACAAAAATCCATGTTGGTGTTATTTCTAAATATTTTGAAAAAGCTCAGTTTCTTAGAAAATTTCCTACAAAATTATAAGATCTACATCAATGAACACTCATTATCGCACTTGGCTTGAGAAGTTTCACCAGAAAACTGCATCTCAGACACTGCAGTGCGACCGGATTCACACACTACCACACTGCCAAGCTGATTCACCATCTCAACAGCACAAAACGCTCTGGAGTGCAGAAGTTGGCTTTCAAAAACGGCTGGAAGCCCTTTTAAAGGCCTGAGTCAGAAGTATAAATAATTTCATAACCAAATACCATTAGAAAATCCTGTTGTGATAGATAAATACCCATGAATCACAGCTGTCTCTCAGCATGATAAGCCAGGCAACAACTAATTAGCTTCTTAGTAGCACATGAAGCTACCTTTTAATAATAATGCTTCTTGAACAAGAAGGATTATGATGTTCTAATTTCATTTTGCAAATTATTGCTTTATCATCTCTAAAGAAATACTTTTAATAAAAAGAAACAGAGTCTGTCAAAGGAATCAGAATCCCTCGCTGTGGTTGTTTTGGTTTGGCTGTCTTGCTCAGGGCTGATATGTTTACATTTTTTCCAAACAGTCAAGTATCTATGGTTACCAGGTTGTTAACAATTTAGAATTCAGTTTCTACTTTTTTCTAATAAGGCTTAAGACACTCAGAAAAGATGCTGGGAAACTTCAAAGTGTACAAAATACCAACATAAAATGCCTGTAACAGAAGAGTCAGGTTATAAGAAAGATTCTCTCTGTGGAGATAACTAGCAACGTCAATGGTCTACAAACTTAAAGAGCTCTTAACATAGTATCACAAACATGTCATCAGCCTTTCAACTCAGTGAAGTCTCCCATGGCTAAAATGACCACTTCTGTTAGATTGCTTGAGAATCTTCTATCTGTCTATGTCCTTTTTCACTGGTAACATCCCAGTAGAGCCTGTATCACGTTTGTCTCTCCAAGCAGGACTACAAGCCTGTTAATGGAATGATCAGATTTCACATATCTTCTGTACTATAAGTTGCCTAAGTGTCAAGCCTAAGGGCGTAGACTAAGTTATTGATTAATAAAAAGTTATTGATTAGTACTATGGAATGCATACACAAAACTATATTCTTTTAAACTAGTGTTAACTGATTGGTTTTAACTGATTGGTTTCCCTAATGATATTCATTAGGGAAAATTTGGAAACTACAGGTAAGAAGCAAAGTGAATAAAAATCGCCTCTAATCACTCATAGATAACCACTGTTTAAATCTGTTTATAACTGTCAGTATTTTTTTCTACAAATCTATAGTTTTCACTCATACAGCATTTTCCTTCTCTTTAAAATATTCTTTTCCAAAAATGGTCTCAAACTTCCTACATAAGCTAGGCAGGTACCACAAATATAGGAGACCAACTGAGTGGAAGATATTAAGCTGCTTGCATAACAACTAAGGTACAACACACTCCACAGGCCAAAAAAAACAAACAAAAAAAAAACAAAACAAACAACAAAAAAAAACACCAGCCAAACAAAACACATCTCTACAGAGCCACATACAACAAACCCTGGTTTGGCACCCTTATAGTACAAAATCATTTTAAATAACAGTATAATATTCCAATACTAAGATATAACTTATGTAACCATTCCCTTCTTATTCCATACTAGATTCTTACATACACATTAGAATGGGAAGCCTGTAACTTTCAGATACTGGAAATAAGTTCTGCTTTTTGGAGAGAGTATTCATCAATTAAATTAAGTTTAAGAATAGTAGTGTTATAAAGAGAACAACACTGGATGAGAAAGGCCAGGGAAAAACACAGAGAAAGAAAGAATTTCTTGACTGGAAGTGATGGCAAAATAAGAAATTGATATTCAAGAAATTTCCTAAAATAGATTTAAGAGGTTATAAAAACATGGGAAAGATCACTGTATGAAGTGCTACATAAGCAGAAGCAGTATGCATTTCCACCTGAAAAGTGGAATGCACAAAGGTTAATAAGAAATCAATATGCTTTCCCCAAGGCAGTGAATTTAACAAGCAACAGCATAAGTGGTGTTTTGTCATATTTAACTCTATGTGACATCTAGAGGCAAATGTTCTAAGAACAACAGTGTGGCCTAAATCAGAGCTAAAAGGACGTGAATCACCTGAATACAGATGATAATTGCATAGGTGTCAATGAAATGCACAAGGAATATGTACAGAATATGACTAGCCCAGGACTAGAATTTAGCTATAGAAATGCTCATACAATAAAGGGCTGAGGAGTAAAATAGAATAAACTATTGAAGGAAATACTAGAGTTGCAAAATAATAAATGAACACAGTCTCCACCATTTTTTCAAGCTGTTCTTTTTATAAGATGATTTGACCTTGCCTAAAAAGCAGAACCCGGGAGGTGGAGCTTGCAGTGAGTCGAGATCGCGCCATTGCACTGCAGCCTGGGTGACAGAGCGAGACTTCGTGTCAAAAAACAAAACAAAACAAACAAACAAAAAAAGCAGAAACGAAGAGCCATGAGGAGGGAATCAAATAAAAAGACAATAGACTAAAATTAAATAGGGAAATGAGTAGCATAAGGAAGGACTGTAAAAACACACGAATTTAATAGCAGAATACATAATAATAACAAAAGTAAACCCCATACTGGACACAGTAAAGAGTAGAAATGAAGCTGTGTGAAGTCTGAATCAGAAGTATAGAACATCAATTTAATATGCTCTCCATGAGCAGAAAGCAAAGGAAATTGCAATGATAAAAGATATTGTTGAAAAAGAAACCATTATAAGAAAAATAAATGAACTCAGGTATGGGTGCTAAAGCTGGAAACATCCTATACAATTTTCTGATTTGCAAGGTTAATAAAAATTGATTTAAAAAAAATTTATGGGTGGGGCAGGAAGAAAAAACAGCTTGTCCATAAAGTAATAAAAAGTAGGTAATATGAAATGACATAGAGCAACAACTGCAGATATTTGAGGAAAAATTATTGTGACTCGAGTGTTTTATTTAATATTTTACTTAATTTGGACTACAGAAATCCAGGTAAATGGGTACACTGCTGAGCGTTTCCTTAACCATTTTTCCAGTGGTTCTATTTTCTTAGTTCTAAGTAACATATTTCTTGAGCTACACTGATAGAATTTCTTGACCTCTCTGATATCAACTTCAAAGCATTAACTGGTCTTTTTCTGTTCTAGCATGTGATAACAATGGCTAAGAATTTTACGCAGTTGGAACACTATGCCTGAATAATTTTTACACAAAAATTTCTGCTTATTTTTTCAACTTTCAAAGAAGCACAGTTTATAGGGCAACATAATGTCCACCTTAATTACCAAAGATCTCTGTTAATTCTTTCCTGTGTCTGAAACTTAGACTGAATGGACCTGGCCTTTGAATTTTTAAGTGGTAAAAATAATAAAAGCCACCCACCAACGGATATTATCTTCATCAACCACTTACAATATTATCTTTCCATCTAGGGCATACAAATGTCCCTATGCTGCTTACACTTGAAAATTTCTCTCCAGATAGATAGATAGATAGATAGATAGATAGATAGATAGATAGATAGATTGATTTACTATATATATTTTACTATAAATATATAGTAAAAACTTAACGAAGTAAACATGCAGAAGAAAAAGGCATGTTTTTAAGATCTACAAACAATGTCACATAACTTGTTTTCCCAGGGTCTTCGATGATAATCCATGGCAATCATAGTCCTCTAACTATAGTCAGTTTTCCAATGTTTGAGGAAAAACACAGCCAAATTAACCTTCACTTTCCCTTATTTTATAACTATAAAATAGGGAATTATTTTCTACATGCATACCTTTTGCACTTGATCTTCCAAGATACTTTTAAATTAGAAAATAGAAAAGTTTGTTACAGAGCAATGAGAAGAATTAGAAATTGCATTCCTAAAATGAAACAAAAAGTCTGTTTTTTGGAGCTCTAGTTCTGTATCACCTGGCTTTCATCATAAAGCTAGATCTCACTAAAGATAAAAGGGAATGGACTGAAAAAAAAGAGAGGGAACGTCATTTGATTCTCTTTACTATGCAGCCAAAATTATTTTAATGGACTTAATCAATTTCATATTTTGTTCTTCAGTAAACCAGCTATATACATGTAACTCCAAATTGCTTAGTTCTTTGAAATGGCAGGCACTAATTATGGTGAAACATTTTACAACATTTGAACAAACTTTTTCCTGTAGGGCTGAAAAAGATTATATAGCTACCTAACATTTACGAAGGGTGATAAGCAAGATGCCGTAACTATGGCTCATAATATTCTGAGAAACAGACTCTACATTATATGACAAACACTTCATGAACGAGTCAGATGACTGTGAAAAGGGCAGTATCATCTCTCTTAGGCTGGCTTTAGAACAAGTTGATTAAAATAAACCCATGTATTACTCTCCATGGCTAATAAACATCTTTTCACTCTACTTGTAGATCTAGTGGCAGCTGTGACTCAGCCAACAGAGCCTAGCTCTTGTACAAATTAGCTGGCATGAATGCTGGCATTATCACTTATTTCTGCTGCAGTAACTCTGAGACACTGACACAGCCAGAATAGAGGTAGTGATTTTCTTTGACATATGATGAGGTAATATAACTTTTGGCACTGCTGCTACTCAATGATTTGATTGTAAAACACCTAGCTCCATTGTCTTATCCCTTTTTATTAGATTTTTACAAACTCTCCATCTACAAGTATGCTAATGGCACATTTCAATACATTTCATTTATACAGAGTCAATACCCTATGCCAGAGGAGACAGAGGAAGTAGATGGAAAACTGGATGACAGATAGATAAGATAGACATATAGATAGATAAAACAGATACACATTGAGTATGGAAAACCTTAAACTATTTTTCCTCTGCTCTCACACCACAACAATCAACTTCTGACCAATCAGCTTCATGCTGGTGTTCCCAAACTCCCACTTTAGGTTTGATTTCTTTGCTAGAGCAGCTCACAGAACTCAGGGAAAGTTGTTTACTGGTTTGTTCTAAAGGATATGATGAAGGATATAGATGAAGAAATACATAGGACAATGTATGGGGAAGGAGCACGGAGCTTCCATGCCCTTCCTGAATGTGCCACCCTCCAGGAACCTCCATGTGTTCAGCTAGTTTCCTGGGCCTTTTATGGAGACTTCATTGAAAAGGCATGATTGAAGCATAGATAACCATATCAAAATGTGATCGGACAAAAAGGGTATGACCTTACACTAACAGAATGAATGAGGAAACCCAGAAAGGCCTGTTAGATTCTTCTTGACCCTTCTGTGTGGCATTCCTTCCTCCAAGGGTATAGGGAGGATGCTCTCTGGACTGGGGGCCTTATAATCCACAATGGAAGATTAGAGTCCTGTCTTGGACAGTGAAAGGAGATCAAGAGAAGGCCAGGGAGAGAGAGATTCTGTTTCCTGATCCTACTTCTGGGGCCCAAAGGGCCCCAATATTATTTTAAAAAGACTGTAACAAAGGTCTATGGGAGTTGTAAGCCAGAAATTGTGGATGAAAATCTATATTAATGGACGGATGGATGGATGGATGCATGGATGGATGGATGGATGGATGGATGGATGCATCGATGGACAGACAGCTCATATCACAGACATATAGTAACACAGACATATAGACAGATGTGGAAGGATGATGAATGGATGACAGGTAAATAACATATGATAGGTATATGGCTAAAGATAATTTACATTCATTTTCAAAGGGCTGACTTTAACTTGATGAAAACTACTTAAATAAGTAGCAGTAAATGCAAAAACTTGAAAACCTTCTTTTGTTACATTTGTCATGGCAAGTTGTAAAGGATCCCCAAAATCCTAAGGTTTTCTTTCTTTAGGTATGTTCAACCTTAAGCTTGTGTGTTTATCTTCATACTTATGGAAAGGGATCAGAAATCAACGCAGAAAGGAAAATTCCCATGTACACTGGGTTGTTTTTTTGCTTTAGCTTTTGTTTTTGTTTTAAATACAAAAGTAGGAAACAAGAAATAATCGCTTTACTTTGGGCATACTCAATATTCTCACTGCTGCTAGAATTTCTTTATTAAACCACAGCTGACTTTTCAACAGTAACAATGGAACCCAGAAAACAGTAAAATAGTATCCTCATTGCACAATCAACTTAGTTTCTAGTCCAACAGAAAAAAGTATCTTTCAAGAACAAGGGCAAAATTCCTAAATAAGGAAATTCTGAAAGTGTATTTTAGATAAACAGTGATCCCAAATGGATAGTGCAAGAATAAAGATGCAGGAAGAAATCAAGAGCATAGAAAATGATAAAGATGTAGAAAATAAATTTTAAAGTCATTAACAGTTATCTTGTGGTGCATAAATGCAAGCTCAAGAGAAGAGAATCAAAAGACATGACAACAATAGAACTAAAATTGGGAGAAGGTTAAAGAAAGTTAATGTGCTTTAAGTTGCATATATTATTCAGAATAAAGATAAAGATATTATGTAACTTCAGATTTTGTTATGTTAAATATGTATGAGTAAAATTTCAGTGGCAACTACTAAAAATACATGCAAATACAACTTCCAAACTACTTGAGAAAAAATTGTATGAAAAAATATATATACACACACAAGCAAGGCAATTCAAAAAGGCAAAAAGGAGAGAAGCAGCAGCATAAATAAGCTGGGAAAGAAAAGGCAACAGAAAATGGTAGATCTAATACATATAAATGAATCAAATGTACCAAGTAAAAAGAAGGGCAATCAGTCTGGACTTAAAATTTATACTTTAGTCTTGTGCAGGAAACATAACTTAAAATGATAGGAACAAGACTAAAAGCAAAAGGATAAAAAACAAACAGAGAAAAGTCTAAACAAAAGAAAGTGAAGATAGCCATATTAATCCAGACAACATAAACATTGAGGCAAAAAACATAACTAGAAATATAGAGGGTCATTCTGGGAAAGAAACACAATCAAAAATAATACAAAGTTCTAAAGGTACAGTGTAACAACTATGTACACAGCATTTACATTCTATTAGGCACGGCAAGTAATCTAGAGATGATTTAAGGTACACTGAAGCATAGGTGTTGGACATATGCCAATACTATACCATTTTATACAAGGGAATTGAACGTCCACAGAATTTGGTGTCCACACAAGTGGGGTCGTGAACCCAATCCCCCATGAACATCAAAAGATGACTGTACTTTCCAAATTGACATACAGATTTAATACAGTTGACATCAAAACCCAAATGAGTTTGTGGGGGTTTTCAAATTTGACAATCCAAAAAAAAAAAAAGGAAATTTAAAAGTTGATCCTTGCTGGAAGGACAATGGGCCAAGATTAGTCACTACTCTTGAAAAATAAAGGAGGACTTCTTCCCCATATCGAGATTTATTATATGCTACTATAATAAACACAGTATATACAGAAAAAGAAAGGCCATTAGAACAGAATAGAAAACCCAGAATGAGACACACCCACACATCAGCCCTTGACATACAACAGAACAGCTACTGTAGATCAGGGGGGAAAGATGGACCTTTTAATAAATGGTGGTGAGACAACTGGGTATCCATGTGTAAAAAAATAAAATTGAACCCCTACTTCTTATTACATACAAAAGTCAATTGTTAAAAATTGATGTGTTAAAAAATACATACCAAAAATAAGCTTATTAAGTTTTTAAGAGATCAGATAGGTGGTCTTGTGAGGCTACAGTTTTATAATGAGAAATCCTGCAATCTTCAATTTAATCTGCCCTAGCTGATGGTAGAGGATAGTCCCCTGAGCAGAAATCAAGATTATTATTCATGAAAAAAACTAAATTTCTTACTTTCTTATTTTTGTAGCTTCAGGGGAAAAAAAAATCCCAAAACCTCAAAAGATCCATCACTTGTGAACATGGATACTGATGTAAAGAAGTACTAATTATTTGCTCATAATGCAAAACAGAAAAAAAAGCATATATATCTGAGGACTATCAGGAAAAAATAGAAGAAGACGTTTGTAACTTAAAACATCAACTCTCTAAGATATTTTAGGAGTACTTTCAGCAGAGAAATCAATGTCTAAACTAAGTTTTACTGCATTGTATAAGCTTCCATATTTCTAGAAGAAAATTATACTGAGTTTCCATGTTTAAAAGAAAAGTAATAAGCTCTTGGAAAAAAAATTAAAGGGTTTACTATAAACATCCAAATTAAAGTTGTAGGAGAAAATTTTCCTCAAATCTTCGAGGGTGACATTAACATTAATTATGCTCTAAATTTAGAGGAAAGTGTTCCTTTTGAAAGACTGATTTACTACCCTGCTTTATCTATCTTTATGAGAACTTGGTGATGGAAGAATAAGGAGCCATTATAGCTCACATTTTAAGTGACATTGACCAAAAAAGTTAATAGCAAGCTAGCCACTATAAATACCATTTTTCTGGTATCTATTTTACAAGTTGTTTTATATAGCTACCCCTTCATTAATGCTTCTATAAATATCATTTATCCAGCATCTATTTTTACAAGTTATTTTATATAGATACCCCTTCATTAATGATTCTATTAATACCATTTTCCGGTATCTATTTTACAACTTATTTTATATAGATACGCCCTCATTAATGCCTCCAATCAACTTTTTGTTTTATCCCTAGAAATGGGACAAATCCATACATTTCAATAACTAAAAATCTCCCAGTGAAGTTTATTTGTCAGTTACTGATTATTCCACAACTTGTGACATTTCCGTTTTGAAGATAAAGGATAGACAGAAAAACCAGTTACAGGACTACTTTCTTTCACAAGGAGTGAAAGAAACTTTCACAAACAACCTGCCCCAATATTTACTTGAAATCCAAATTAGTTTTCCTTTGACAGACAGGGGAACAAGGAGATATTCCTGCCAACAATTCATCGAAGCATAATGCCTACATCTAAATTAGTAAAAAAAAAAAACTGAAGAAAAAAAAAAAGCAGCTGCTATGTCTCTATTCAGAATCACACAGCAGCTGTGAAAGCAGTTTCATTCTTCCACTTCCAAGTCAATGCATCAAAACCCTTGCCCAGAAGTGTGCCAGCAACTACCACACTAATTGCAAAATTGCCATAGCAATGAAATGACAATAGCCATGCACGTTCATTTGGATGACCAAGCCGGGGCTATTTATAACCGGAAGAATGACTCCAACAAGAAAGTCATAGAGGACGGACTAATTAAGGTGTGCAAATCCAAATATGTTAAAGACTTGACTTCATGTTTTATTCAGCTTACCCCAGAAAAATGTTGACTATAATCTCATTAACTATTTTTTACTTTTTAAAAAAACCAAACATCAGTTCTTACACAAAATATATCAAACTTCGAATTATTTTTCTCCAGTGATTTTTGTATGAGAATTCTTCAGTACCAATTATAAATATCATTTAAAATATAAAATATATGGCCAGGCATGGTGACTCATGCCTGTAATCCCAGCACTTTCAGAGGCCAAGATGAGAGGATCGCTTCAAGCCAGGAGTTTGAGATCAGCCTGGGCAACACAGTAAGAACCTGTCTGTATAAAACATTTTTTAAAATTAGCCAAGCACAGTGGGGCACACCTGTGATCCCAGCTACTCAGGCAGCTGTGTCAGGATGATCACTTGAGTCCGCAAGTTCAAGGCTGCAGTGAGCTATAATCGCTCCACTGTACTCCAGCCTGGGTGACAAAGAGAGAGTGCCCTGTCTCTAAAATATATATATTATATTATGTGTATTGTGTATACATATATATTAATATGTATACTCACGCATACATACACACATACCCTTAATCCATTTGTCACAAGAAAGTGGACTTAACTTTTTAACATATAAGTTTCAAAAATAAATAGTAAACATTATTTTGATATATTTCAATGTAAATAAAAATACCTAATATGGAGTCATTATTTATTGATAAAAGAAGGAAAGAATAAAAATGACAATAATCTCTGAAATAGACTAACAGACTCCCACAGTGCAAGGAAATTCTTTTTAAAATCAAGGGAACTTCATTCCAAGTAAGTGTCCCACAGTGTTCTCCTGCCTTCTTAAAATTACCAAAATCAGAATCCTTCACAGGCAAGCTACATCTCATAGGAAAAGCTCAGTAGACTGACTTTCCACCATAACAAATAGAGCAAAATATTTCATCAAAATTGTTACTGTTTCCATCAAGGATGCTGTTCAAGGCTATCACAAAAGACTAAGTATTAGTGGTGAGAAGCAACAGCAAAAATCACAGTGAATCATTAGTTATAGTACTAGAAATCCTGCAAAAACCTGTAACTGATGGTTAATTAATTAAATCAAACCTTATCAAATAAAAATTCAATCTAAAAATTGATCATTTCAAAGAAAAATTATTTTTTCTTAAAACTGAATAATACTGATTAAAAGGAGCATTTAAAAACTAAATATTGATATCCTTAAGTGATGCAGCAAAACAATCCCAGTTTTTTTATTTCTAATTCGTTCAGCAAATACTGTATATACTGATACCAGAAAGTTATACTTATCTTGAAAAGCTTAAATTTTAGATACTAAAAAAATGAGATAGAACAGCAATATTAAAGTGAGATCAGAAAGCAAAATGAAGGTAACTCCAGTCCACAGGAGGCTACCTGAACAGGAATATCGACATGAAAATAAATTGCTGAGAGTACACAATAATTATGGATTATTCTGGCTGTGTTAATAACTTACTCAAATCTCTCTGCTACCCTGTACAATCTGCCCTTTTATAAACTATTGTTGCCAGGCATGGTGGCTCACACCTATCTTATAATCCCAACACTTTGGAAAGCCAAGGCAGAAGGATTGCCTGAGCTCAGGAGTTCCAGACCAGCCTGGGCAACATAGTGAAACCTCATCTTTACAAGAAAAAAAAAAAAAACTAGCTGGGCATGGTAGTGCATGCCTGTAGTCCTAGCTACTCAGGAGGCTGAGGCAAGAGGATCACTTGAGCCCAGGAGGTCAAGGCTGCAGTGAGCTGTGATCATATCACTGCACTCCAGCCTGGGCAACAGAATGAGACTGTCTCAAACAAACAAACAAACAAAAATTATTAGCTGTCATCTAAGACTCTACAAATGTTCTATATGGCTTGGACACCTTATAACTTCTCTACCACAACCTGAAGTGACCCAAAGGGCCAATTATTTTCAGAGGATACAAATATTCTATTGTGATACTTTATTACAAAACATAACCACAATGGAGATAAGGTGAGTCAGGAGCTAAACAATAATTTCTTAAATACCTACCATGAGGCAGGTTTTACATAAGTGTTTTATTTCAAAGTCTCACAAAAGCACGTTGAAATAGTTATTGTTAGCCCCATTTTACAACCAGCTATAACATCACAAGTGTGACAAAACATCCAAGGTCACACAGCCAGTAAATGGCAAGACTGTCTAATCCTAATATTCATGTTTATGTGGCTAAACAGTCCCTCTAAAAGTATTTATACTTGGCACACTTTTCAAAAAGCTTTAGAAAACTTACACATTCAAAGCAACTTAAGAAACACACACATATTAAACAGAGCATCCTAATCGAAGTAACTAAATGTAGAGGTTTGAGATTAAATATTTATAAATTTAACTTTGAGTCCCTGGAACCTACCACTCTCTCCAGGCAAAGAGGTCAACCAGAAAGCTTCAGGCCTGCATCTCATGATGTATAATGCAATGAGTGAAAGAACAAACTGTACTGAGTATAACATTCAGTAAATGGCCCCAAAGCTAGCTATAAAACAAACCCACACATATTCTTGCTAGTTCTACTTATCTAAAACGTCACTATCCTAAAGGAAAATTGAGTAGTACATCAATGTCTGGTCAGAGAAATAACATGCACTTTTAAAGAAAGCGATAAAGCATTAAAGACTATCAGCTCCTTCAGACTCTGCCTAATAAATATTCACTAGGAAAAGATGTCCCACTATGTTCTAGAGGTAGAATTAAGATATAAATAAGCAATAATAATCCATCACTTATTCCGAAAATGTTTCACACATAACCAGAATAAAATGCCATGCCTACATATAAAATGTAAAATACAAGGAACTGAGTGATGTAGCTGGAGACAAAAAAGTACAGTTAATAAAAACACATAATTATGATGATGCATAATGTGGTAAGTGTACTCCTATGGATAAGAAAGACTCATGAGTTCATTCATAAGAGGCGGAAGATTGCTTTGGGTTTGTCAGGCAGTTTCATGAACTAAGCTTGCAAGTTAAAATGAAGTAAGTCAATGAAAGGAAAATTAAGTCTTCATGAAAAGATAACAGAGCCACATAACTATCAAAAGCTAAATCTCAAAGTTGACAAAAAGCTTTTTTTCTCAAATTATGAGATTTAAAAATCTTAAGGACTTAGTTTTACAATTCTTAGGGAAACTAATTTAAATAAATTCAAAGTAAATCATATATGTTATGTGGCATATAGACAGAACATGTTTGAATTTCAATAACGAACAATATTCGAGTTGCAGGTCTGCCACTTACACTTCATATGTAACCATGGGAAAATGACTTACCTGGTTCCCGGTGTACAAAACTGCAAATCGAGGGTGATACCAAGAGGCTTTAGGATTCAGTTAGCTAATGTACAGGATGCATGAGGAAAGCATAAGTGCTAGTTTACTATATAAATTCTTATTTATTTATTTTTAAGCAATAGGGTCCTTCGCTGTGCTCAGGCTGGAGTACAGTGGTGCAATCACAGGTCACTGCAGCCTTGAACCCCTGGGCTCAAGTGATCCTCCCACCTCAGCCTCCTGAGTAGATAGGGCTACAGTCACGTGCCACCACGCCTGGCTAATTTTTTAATTTTTTATTTTGGTAGAAATGGGGTCTCACTTTGTTGCTGTTGTTGATAATATATTTTGTATCTAAGAACCATGTTTATTTGAAAGAACTTTACTCTTTAGTAATAAAATGAGTATATTATTTAAACATAATAAACATGGTTAATATTGTTTCCAAATCCTTTTAAACCATTTTATTTATACAGACATGCTAATTCTATGCAATTAGTGTTAATTTCTAATATCATTCTGCTGTCTCCCTAAACATATAGCTTTCTACTCATTTTTGTCTTCATCATTCTACTAATACTAATTAGTATTACTTCTACACATCTATTCTGGACTGCAGAAATTACTAATTTATTACACATCTATTCAGGACTGCAGAAATATTAAAGCACATACAACTGCACGTTTCTTCTCTCTCCCCAAACTTTATATTAGTCAAAGAATATTCAGCATAAAATCCAATTTTTCTATTTACTTTTTCTCTTCTTTCTTCTTCACTGTTTAATCCCATAGACAGATTGCTTCCGGTGAAAATTGCTTATTCTTTTTTTCTTGTTGAAGAAAGGGTCTCACTCTGTCACCGAGGCTGGTGCACACTGATGCAATCTTGACTCACTGCAGCCTCGATTTCCTAGACTCAAGACATACTCCTGCCTCAGCCTCCTGAGTAGCTTGGGCAACGGGGAACCACTACCATGCCCAGCTATTTATTTTTCGTTTTATTTTTATAGAGACAGGGTCTCACTATGTTGCCCAGGGTGGTCTCCAACTACTGGCCTCAAGTGATCCTCCCACCTCAGCATCCCAAAGTGCTGGGATTAGGGATTACAAGGATAAACCTCTGGCAAGTTTTACTAAAGAAAAATTATTTTGCTTGGTTTACTTTTCACCAGTATCTTCTGGCATGCTTCTAAAGACATCAGAATAACCTGGATCAATGATAGCCAGTGTGCACAGTCTGTAGTATTTTCCACATGCTGTGCCCAGTCCAGTATTATTACCACTGTAGTGATGAACACCAGTTTAGGCCAACATGGTGTAGTACTCTATTGGGGATTTCCTCAAAGCTGGGCACTTGTTAGTGAGGATGACCAATTTTGCTTTTTCTTATCTAATCATCTTCAGAATCTGCTTGTACCCCAGGACATACTTTCCACTTTTCATAACAAGTTGGAGCCTAGCGTTGATCAACTCCAGTGACTTTTCCATCATTTTTGCCACCATCATATTCCTGGCTTAGGTGCCAGATGGCCCCCAACCAAGAACAGCCGCCAAGATGGCCAGGGAATGAGAAAAGCAAATTGTTCATTCTTATCATGGTGCACAAATATTTTGTTTCACAGAAAATTTAACCCTCAGAATTATAAATTTTCCCATAAATTTAAAAATAACATACTCTACAAAAAAAAAAAATCATAGACACAGCTGATAAATATCAAACTAATTAACTTAATATGAGATCTCTTGTTTTTTTTTTCTCATCCACTCACTGATGAGAGGTAAAAACAGCAGGAATATGGCCCAAAAACAAGTCACAAAGAAAGAGCTAGACAGTGCCTGAACCATCAAGAGCTGACCACAGTGTCTTCTTGTAAGAAATGTGGCCACTGGTGAACAGCCATGTCTAGGAATGTCTAGACATAAAATGGGCAGAGGAAGACAGTCTTGCATACATTTATGCATCTCATTTGTGCTTAGCTAATGGATAATTATATACTTCATACTATAGTTATAAAAATAATGTATAAGGAGAATCTAGTATAATTTTGGAAAGATTAGGTATTTAGTGTCTGTTGAAATGAAGGAGTGAGGAAAGAAAAAGAGAAATAAAAAGGAGATAAAAATACAATGTATCTAAAATCTCAAAGTCTTTCTGGTATTCACTCTTTCTGGTATTCATTCCCAGAAATAATACATTCAAAAAACATGTATAGCTTAATGAATGCAATTATACATTATACTTATTCATTAAATGTTTCCAAACAATCCTTTTAGTGGTATTTAGTAACAAATTTATCTCTCTTTTGCATCCACTCAATAAAAAAAAATTGGGTGAAAACTATGTGCATCTTAAATATGTCAAGAAATATAAAAGAAATTAAGTCAGAGAAAAAAGAAAAGTCTCCTGAACTATGGTCTCCAGTATAATAGCTGACATTTCTGTAATAGTACCTGTTATTATAATTCATTAGCAACTGCTAAATTACCAGCATCTACAGATGCTATCTTGTTACCATGGAAATGCAGAATATATGAATTAATTAGGACCATGGTTGAAAAAAAAAAGGACAGAAGGGTGCCTAGTTTCTACAGGAAGCGGTTTCCTTCAATAGCTTTTATTATTATTATTATTCATCTAACAAATATCTCATGTTTTAAAATCTAATTATTAGGCATGTAACCTTTTTTATCAGACAAGGCATCAGTTCCACATTACTTACTTGCTATGACTTCTTAAATTCTGGGTTTAATCAACAGTTTTCATGTCAATACTGTGCACCCCTAACTTTTTGCTGCTCATTATTTCTTATATACAATCAGTTTAAGAGAGCTATTTGTCATTGTTACAAAAACATTACTATCACCATGGTTCCTTTCCTTAAGAGGTAGTTTATAAACAAATTCCTGAATGGAGGTTTCCAAACACCAAAGTTATCATAAGTGAATGCAATAAGTATATTCCCTCAGAAAGGCATAAACGGAATATGATATAACCTAATTTGTCATTTATTATTAGTTTGACAAAGAGTATTATTAGAAGGCCAATTAGTCTGTATAAAATCTATGGCAGGAAAAAAAAAAAAAACTCAGAGACTTGTTGAAGTGTTTCTGGCAGAGACAGGGTAAAGAGTGCCCTGACAAACCAGTGAAAAGTTCTGCTTGATTTGGTAGATTTCTCTATACACTGGAAAGAAACCAAAAGAACATGAACATTTATCAGTCACCAACTACACTGTCCTAGGAATGCAAATAACTGCTTTGTTCTGATTACAAGTTCACCAAACAACTTTCCATAAAGGTGTCAGATCCTTCTTCTGTAAGAAGAGACAGAACAAAAAACCCCAAAACACTGACCAGCTAAACAGGGCACTTCACTTCGCTTGGTACTTCTCCTTATTTTACAAAAAGCATTCTGGTCCTTTCTCAAGTCTATTTTAGGTTGGGTTAATGGAAATAATCAGCTCTATCCCCAATCAACTCAATAAGAACTGAAAAGGAAAAAATCAACTTTACAGAACAGAAAAATAGAAGGCCAGAACCTGGATTTGGGTGATGCCAAAGTAATGCCATCCAACAAGATCCTTTTTGAACAGCCATTTTACATCTTCCCTTAAATATCAATCTTCTCAATCTCTATTCAAAATGCTTTTTCTTCTGTTGTGACCATCCTAGTTACTTCCCTTCACCTCTGGACATCCTTTAAAAATTTTTTATTGCAGCATTTTCTTATTCCTAACCACATAAAATAATAAACTCTGTTTGGCGTTTTTGTCAAAGCACTTCCAAGTCATTATCTCATTTGAAGCTTAGGGCCACCTTCGGAATATAAGCAGGACAAATATCAGCCCATATTTATATAAAGGAACAGAAGACCCAACCGGTTATATGCAGGGACTTCAAGGTGGGGATTAGGGCAGTGGTTCTCAGATATGGCCCTCTGAACCCTCTTACCTAGGGACAACTGTCACCTACTGGACACATTTGCTAAACCAGCAGAAGTTTTGCTACTGGCACTTAGTGAATACAGGCCAGAAATGCTGCTAAGCATCTTAAAAAGTCCATTTTTGGGCTCTCTGTCTCACTGATCTACGCGTGTCTATTCTTTCACCACACTGTCTTGATTACTGTCACTTTTTAGTTATTCTTCTTATTTTACTATTTTTTAAAGAGGGTACTGCTCTGTTACCCAGGCTGGTCTCGAAATTCTATTGATATGATGTGATTATTTAGTCTGTTGATGTGATAATATCAATTTTAAAAAGCTGAATCAGTCTTGCATACTTGGGACAAATCCCAATTCATAATGGTATATGTCTTTAGTGTTGAATTCAATTTTATAATATTTTATTGATGATTTCTACATCTATGTATCTGAGAGATACTGGTCTATAGTTTTCTTGTATTTTCTGGCTTTGGTATTAATACTGGCTTCATAAAATGAGTTAGAAAGCATTCCCTCTGCCTCTACCTTCTAAAGGAAATTCTAAACAATTGGTACAGTTTCTCTCTTAAATCTTTGCTAGAATTCACTTGTAAACCCATCTGAACCTGGTGCTTTCAGTTTTGGAAGGTTATGATATATTGTATCTTTCAGGGAATTGGTCCATTTCATCTAGGTTATCAAACTTGTAGGGATAGAGTTATTCATAGTATTCCTTTGTCATTTTTAATGTCCATGGAATCTGTAGTGCTGTCACCTCTTTCATATCTGATATTCGCAATTTATGTGGTCTCTTTTTTTCTTAGCCTGACTAAAGCTCTGCTTACTTTACCTTTTCAAATAACCAGTTTTTTGTTTTGTAGATTTCCTCTATCAATTTCCTGTTTCCAATTTCATTTCCACTCCAATATTTACTATTTCTTATCTTCTGCCTACCTTGGATTTAATTCCCTCTTTTCCTGTCTCCTAAGGTCAAAGCCTAGAAGACTGACTCTAGCACTTTCTCCTTCTGTTACTAAATACATCAAATACTATAAATTTAAAAGCACTGCTTTCAGTGAATCCCACAAATTTTCATTTTTCACTTTCATTTAGCTCTAAATTTTTTGCTATTTTTATTCAGATTTTTTGACTCATGTTATTTAGAAGTGTGTTGTTTAACCTGCAAGCATTTTGGAATTATCCAGCTATCCTTCTGCTGTTGATTTTGTTTAATTCCATTGTAGCCTAAGGACAGTTATTATATGATTGTATTCTTTTTAAATTGTTAAGGTTTCACAGTTCAGAATGTGTTCTACGTTCTATGTTCTATCTGAGCTAGGGAAGAATGTGTATTCTGTTGTTGGATGAAGTAGTCTACAGATGTCAGTTATATCCAGTTGAGTAATGGTGTTGTTGAGTTCAACAATGTCTGTACTGATTTTCTGCCTGCTAAATCTGGCCATTTCTGATAGAAGGGTAATGAAGTCTCCAACTATAATAGTGATTCATCTATTTTTTCCTCACAGTTCTACCAGTATTTGCATTGAGAATTTGGTCACTCTGTTATTAGGCACATAAGGTAAATTGGAGAACTAACACTTTTACCATTATAGAACTCATGTGTCTTTATCCCTGATAACTTTACTTGCTCTGAAATCTGCTGTTTGAAATTAATATAGCTAATCCTATTTTCTTTTGATTAATGTTAGCATGGCATATCTTTCCCATGCTTTTAATCCATGTGTATTTATATTTAAAGAGTTTCATATAGACAGCAATAAAGTTGGGTCTTGTTTTTATAGGCACTCCTGCAATCTGCCTTTTAATTGGTACATTTAGACCACTGACCTTCGAAGTGATTACTGACAATTAGATCAAAGTCTACCATATTTATTGTTTTCATTTATTTGTTCTTATTTTTGTCATTCACCCTTTTTCTGCCTTGTGTGGATTTAGTTGAGCATTTTACGTGATTTTATCTTCACTCCTTTCTCACCACATTGGTTATACTGCTTTCATTACTTTTTCTTTGTGCTGGCCCTAGAGTTTGCAATATACATTTACAACTAATTCAGGTCCACCTTCAAGTGCCACTAGATCATTTCATGAGTAGTATGAATACCTTATAATAGCAAAATAATGCTAATTCCTTCCATCCATCCCTTGTATAATTTCTGTCATGCATTTCACATATAAATAAGCATAAACATATACACACACACATGCACATACAAGCACATGTACACACCAGAAAGAGTCTCTGAGCTTGAGGATATATGTATGTAACAGAAACCTCCAAAACTGAAAAGCAAGGAGAAAAAATACTGGGGGGAAATGAACCATAAACAAACCATGTATATATGTGCTTAAGTATAGACAAGTATATATATAGACAAGCACACATAATCAAAGGCATTATTGCTACTATTTTCAATAAAGTGTTGTCTCAGATCAATGATTAATTAAAAAATGAAAGTTTTATTTTACCTTCATTTATTTCTCTCCAATGTTTTCTTACGTAGATCTGAGTTTCTGACATATCATTTTTTACATTTCTTGCATGGCAAGTCTACTGGCAACAAATTTCCTTTGTTTAAGCAATTTTCTATTTATCCTTGTCTTTTGAAGGAAAAATTTAACAGGGTACAAAATCCTAGACTGGTAGGGCTTCATTCTCTCAACACTTTAAATATTTCACTCCACTCTCTTCTTGCTAGCACTGTTCCTGAGAAAAAGGTATTCTTATCTTTGCTATTATATAGATAATATATAATATTATTTATTATGATCTGGCTTATTTCAGGATTTTTACCTTTGATTTTTCTGTAGTTTAAAAATGACATGCCTTCACATAGCTATTCTGCCATTTATTCTGCTTTGTCAACTAGGAAATTGTAGGATCTGTGGTTTGGCTGGGAAATGCTCAGTCATTATTGCTTCAAATATTTCTTCTTTTCCTTTCTCTCTTCCTGATATTTCTTTTATATGTATGTTACACCTTTTGTAGTTGTCCCCATGGTTCTGATATTCCGTTATGGTTTGTTTACTCCAGTATTTTTTCACTTTGCTTTTCAGTTTTGGAGGATTCTTTTAAAAACATCCTCAAGCTTGGACATTCTTTCTTCAGCCATGTCCAGTCTATTAAAGCCCATCAAAGACATTTTTTTTTTTTTTTTTGAGTCGGAGTCTTGCTCTGTCACCCAGGCTAGAGGACATGGGTGTGATCACAGCTCACAGCAGACTCCAAATCCTGAGCTCAAGGGATCCTCCCACCTCAGCCTCCCAAGTAGATGGAACTACAGGCATGCACCACCTATGTCCAGCTATTTTTAAAACTTTTTGTAGAGATGCAGTCTTAGTATGTTGCCCAGGATGGTCTCAAACTCCCAGTCTCAAGTGATTCTCCTGCCTCAGCCTCCCATAGCATTGGGATTACAGGGATGAACTGCTGCACCCAGCCCCATATTCTTCATTTCTGGCATAGTGTTTTTGATCTCTAGCATTTCTTTTACAGATTCTTAGAATTATCATCTCTCTGCTTACATTACCCATCTGTCCTTGCAAGCTATTTTATCCATTAGAGCCCTTAGCTTATTATTCATAGTTGTTTTCAGTTCCCAATCTGATGATTCCAGAACCCCTGACATATCTGAGTTTGATTCTGATGTTTGCTCTGTCTCTTCCTTCAGCCCATTTTTCCCCCTTTTACTGTATCTTCTCATTTTTTTCTTGATAGCCAGACATGACACACTGGTTAACGGATATAAATACATTGTCAGTAATAAAGTGGTAAGGTGTAGGAGAAGGAGAAACACTCTACAGTGTTATGATTAGGTCTCAAGCTTTAGTGAGGCTGTGCCTCTGGACTGGGAACTTCACAAGTGCTTCTCAGTTCTCTTCTCTCTTAGTTGGAACAGAATGGCTAGAGGGTAGAGGAGTTTAATATTCCCCTTTTCTCAAATAAAAGGCTAGAGAGAACTAGAATTGGGTGCTTTGCTTACCCCAGGCCACTTACACTGTGTTTTAACTAATTTTTTCTGAAGCAGACCTCATTTAAAAACAAAACAAAACAGAGTACTCTGGCATACTTCAAAATGGCTCCTTTTCCCTTCCTTGTGCCAGAAGCAAAGGGAAATTTTCTCAAATATTCACTGTGAAAACCTGGTAGAGCAGCAAGAGGTGAAATTCATAAGAGTGGAAGACCCCTCCACCCACTTCTGCTTACTAGGTCCTCCTGGAGTTTTTAAAATCTAAGATTTGTCCACAGTGAATCTCTAGCAATTTGTCAACTATAATGCAGGTTTTCCTATACAAGCAATGTTTCCCATGGAAGACTTTGTTAATTGGTTATCACTCAAGTAAATTATGGTTAGCTGTATCCACCTGCCTCTCCAGTTTTGGGGGTAGTGGTTTGTCCTATGACCTCACTTCTCTTTAGGTCCAGGAAGAACTGCTGATTTTTCAATTTGTCCCATTTTTTACCTGTTAGAGCAGACTGGTGACTACAAGCTCCTGATATGCCCAACAATTTCATTAGCAGCAATTTGATTATAATATTATCTGGGCATGGCTTTCTTTGAAATAATACCATTTGAAGTTTGCTGAGTTTCTTGAATCTGTAAGTTTATGTCTTTCACCAAGTTTGGAGAGTTTTCAGGCCTTGTATCTTTAAATATTTTTTCTTCAGATATTTGTTTTTCCTCTTCTGGCATTATGCTGACACAAATGTTAGAAATCCAAATATTGTCCTACAAGTCCTTAAGAGTTGGTTCATTTTTTTTCCATTTTCCCTCTTATTTTAGGTAATTTCTATTGTTTGAATTACTTATATTTATCTGTCTTAAGTTCACTCACTTTTTTCATCTCTCTCTGCCATTAAATCAATCCATTTTCCATTTGAGTCCTTTATTAAAGTACGTGTTTTTCTGTTGAGAACTTCTATCTTTCCATTCATTGCAAGTGTTTTCACTTTTATCTCTTGGATCACAGTTACCAAAGCCAATTTAAAGTTTTTGTGTGATAAATCCACCATCTGGGTCATCTTGTAGTGAGCACCTGTTATCTTTTCCCTTAGCAACTTGTCAGATTTCCCTGATTCTCTATGTTAAGTGCCTTTGCATTATATTCTGAACATGTTGGATATTATGTTTTCATTGGGTCCTGCTAAAAATGTTTTCTTAAAAGTGCAGGTTTGTTACATGGGTAAACTGCACATCACTGGAGTTTGGTGTACAAATTATTTCATCTCCCAGGTAGAGAGCATAGTACCTGATAGGTAGTTTTTTGATCCTCACCCTCCTCCCAACCTCCACCCTCAAATAAGCCCAGTCAGGGTCTACTGTTCCTCTTTGCATCCATGAGTACTCAGTGTTTAGCTCTTACTTATAAGTGAGAACATGAAGTATCTGATTTTCTGTTCTTGCATTAATTCACATTGGATAATGTTACTAGCAGCATCCATGTTGCTGGAAAGGACATGATCTGATTTTTTTTATAGTGTGTAGTATTCCATGGTGTATATGTACATTTTCTTTATCCAGTCCACCATTGATGAACATCTAGGTTGATTCCATGTCTTTGCTGTGTGAACAGTGCTGTGATGAACATATGTTTGCATGTGTCTTTATGATAGAACGAATTATATTTCTTTGGGTATATACCCAGTAAGGGGACTGCTGGATCGAATGGTAGTTCTGTTTTACATTGAGAAATCACCACAATGCTTTCCACGGTGGTTGAACTAATTTACATTACCACCACCAGCACTGTATGTGTTTCCTTTTCTCCACAGCCTCTCCAGCATGTTTTTCGTATGCTTTTTGTTTTTGACTTTTCAATAACTGCCATTCTGACTGGTATGAGATGCTATCTCATCATGGTTTTGATCTGCATTTCTTTAATGATTAATGATGTTGAGCATTTTTTCATATTCTTGTTGGCTGTGTGTGTCTTCTTTTGAAAAGTGTTCATGTCCTTTGCCCATTTTTTACTGGGGCTGTTTGATTTTTGCTTGTTGATTTAAGTTCCTTACAGAATCTGGATATTAGACCTTTGTTGGATGCATAGTTTGCAAATACTTTCTCCCATTTTGAAGGTTGTCTGTTTACTCACACTAGTTTATTTTGCTATGTAGAAGCTCTTTAGTTTAACTAGATCCTATTTCTCAATTTTTATTTTTGTTGCAATTGCTTTTGGAGTCTTCATCATGGAATCTTTGCCATGGCCTATATCTAGAATGGTATTTCCTAGGCTTCCTTCTAGACTTTTTACAGTTTTAGGTTTTATGTTTAAGTCTTTGTTCTATCTTGAGTTGATTTTTGTATATGAAGAAAGGAAAGGGTCCAGCTGCAAACTTTTGTATATGGCTAACCAGCTCTTCAAACACCATTTATTAAATAGGTAATCCTTTCCCCATTGCTTGTTATTGTCGACTTTGTCAAAGATCAGATGGTTGTCAGTGTGCAGCTTTATTTCTGGGTTCTCTAACCTGTTCCACTCCTCTATATGTCTGTCTTTGTACCAGTATCATGCTGTTTTGGTTACTGTAGCCATGTAATATAGTTTGAAGTTGGTAGGATGATGCCTCTGGCTTTTGTTCTTTTAGCTTAGGATGGTTTTGGCTATGCATTCTCTTTTTTGGTTGCATATGAATTTTAGAATAGTTTTTTCTAATTCTGTGAAAAATGATATAGGTAGTTGGGTAGAAATAGCATTGAATCTGTAAACTGAGTTGGACATATGGCCATTTAAACAATATTAACTTTTCCTATCCATGAACATGGAATGTTTTTCCATTTGTTTGTGTTCTCTTCAACTTCCTTTAGCAGTGTGTGGTAATTCTCATTGCACAGATATTTCACTTCCCTGTATAGCTGTATTCCTAGATATTTTATTATTTTTGTGGCTTTTGTGAATGGGATTGCATTCTTGATTTGGCTCTCGGCTTCAACGTTATTGATGTATAGAAATGCTACTGATACTTGTACATTGATTTTGTATCCTAAAACTTTGCTGAAGTTGTTTATCAATTCTAGAAGCCTCTGGAGAGAGAGTATGGGGTTTTCTAGATATACAATTATATCATCTGTAGATAGATATGGTTTGACTTCCTCTCTTCCTATTTGGATGACTTTTACTTTTCTCTTGCATGATTGCTCTGGCTAGGACATCCAGTACTATGCTGAATAGGAGTGGTGAGATTGGGCATCCTTGTCTTGTTCTGGTTCTCAAGGAAAATGATTCCAGGTTTTACCCATTCGTTATAATGTTGGCTGTGGGTCTGTCATAAATGGCTCTTATTATTTTGAGGTTTGTTCCTTCAATGCCTACTTTGTTGAGGGTTTTTTTACACGAAGGAATGTTGAATTTCATTGAAAGCCTTGTCTGTGTCTATTGAGATCATCATGTGGTTTTCAGTTTTATGTGATAAATCACATAGATTTCCATATGTTGAATCAACCTTGCATCCCAGGAATAAGGCCTATTTGATTGTGGTGGATTAGCTTTTCGATGTGCTGCTGGATTCAATTTGCTAGTGTTTTGTTAAGGATTTTTGTGTCTGTGTTCATCAGGGATATTAGCCTGAAGTTTTCATCTTTTATTGTGTCTGCCATATTTTGGTATTAGAATGATCTGGCCTCATAATGAGTCAGAGAGGAGTCCCTCTTACTCAATATTTTCTAGAAGTTCCAATAGGATTGATACCAGCTTTTCTTTATACATCTGATAAAATTCAGCTGTAAATCCCTCTGGTCCAGGGCTTTTACTGGTTGGTAGGTTTTTTATTACTGATTCAATTTCAGAACTCATTATTGATCTGTTCAAGTATTCCATTTCTTCCTAGTTCAATCTTGAGAGGTTTTACATTTCCAGGAATTTATCTATTTTCTCTAGGTTTTCTAGTTGGTGTGCATAGAGGTATTCGTAATAGTTTCTGAGGGTTCTGTTTTCTGCATTTCTGTGGGGTTGGTGGTAATGTCATCTTTGTCATCTCTGTGTTTATTAGGATCTTTTTTCTTTATTGGTCTAGCTAACAGTCTCTCAATCTTATGCATTCTTTCGAAGAACCAACTTTTGGTTTCATCAATCTTTTATATGAATTTTCACCTGTGGTTTTTGTTCAGTTCAGCTCAGATTTTTGTTATTTTCTTTTGCTAGCTTTAGGGTTGGCTCCCTCTTGTATTTCTAGTTCCTCTAGGTGTGATGCTGGGTTGTTAATCTGAGCTCTAACTTGATGTAAGCATTTAGCACTATAAACTTTCCTCTTACCACTGCTTTAGCTGCATCCCAAAGATTCAGGTGAGTTGTATCTGTTTCCATTAATTTCAAATAACTTATTGATTTGTACCTTAATTTCACTCTACACAAAAGTCATTCAGGGACAGGTTAATTTCCAAGTAATTGTACAGTTTGGGGGATCTTCTTGGTATTGATTTCTATTTTTATTGCACTGAGGTCTGAAAGACTGGTTGGTAGGGTTTTGTGTTTGTTTTTGTTGAGAATTGCTTTATGGCCAAATGTGTGGTCAATGTTAGAGTATGTGCCATGTGCAGGTGAGAAGAATGTACATTCTGTTGTTGTTGGGTGGCATATTGTATAGATGTCTTTTAGATCCATGTGGTTAAGTGTCAAGTTTAGGTCCCTAGTATCTGTTTCTTTCCTGCCTCGATGATCTAACACTGTCAGTGACATGTTGAAGTCTCCCATTATTATTGTGTGGTTATCTAAGTCTCTTCATAGGTCTCTTACAAACTTGTTTTATTGATCTAAGCACACCAGTGTTGGGTGCAAATATACTTAAGATAGTTAAGACTGTTTATTTAGTTGAACCATTTATCATTATGTAATGTCCTTCTTTGTCCTTTTTATTTTTTTGAGATGGAGTCTCACTCTGTGCCACCCAGCTGGAGTGCAGTGGCACAATCTCAGCTCACTACAACCTCCATCTCCCAGGTTCAAGTGATTACCATGCCTCAGCCTCCCAAGTAGCTGGTACAGCTGTACACCACCACACCTCGCTAATTTTTTGCATTCTTAGTAGAGACAGGGTTTCACCATGTTGGCCAGGCTGGTCTTGAACTTCTGACCTCAGGTGATCTGCCCACCTTGGCCTCCCAAAGTGCTGGGATTACCGGTGTGAGCCACCGCACCTGGGTTCTTTGTCCTTTTTGACCATTGATGGCTTAAAGTCTATTTTTTTCTAAATAAGAATAGCAACTCTTGCTCTGTTTGCTTGATAGATCTTTCTCCATCCCTTTACTTTGAGCCTATGAGTGGGTTTGCATTTCAGATGGTCTCCTGAAGGTAGCATACAGTTGGGTCTTCTTCTTTATGCAACTCGTCACACTCTGCCTTCAAAGTGGGCATTTATCCTGTTTATGTTCAAGGTTTTGTTTTGTTTTTGAGAGGGGGCCTTGCTCTGTCACCCAGACTGGAGTGCAGTGGTGCCATCTCAGCTCACTGCAACCTCTGCCTCCCAGGTTCAAGCAATTCTCCTGCCTTAGCCTCCTGAGTAGCTGGGATTACAGGCATGTGCCACTATGCCTGGCTATTTTTTTGTATTTTTGGTAGAGACGGGGTTTCATCATGCTGGCCCAGCTGGTCTCGAACTCCTGACCTCAGGTGATCCACCTGCCTCAGTCTCCCAAAGGGTTGGGATTACAGGCATAAGCCACAACACCTGGCCTTGTTTAAAATGTTCAAGGTTAATATTGATGTTAAGATTTGATCCTGTCAACATGTTGTTAGTAGGTTGTTATGCAGACTTGATTATATAATTGCTCTATAGTGTCAGTGGGCTAGGTACTTAAGTGTTTTTATAGTGGCAGATAATAGTATTTCATTTCCATTTTTAGCACTTGCTTAAGCATCTCTTGTAAAGCAAGTGTGGTGGTAATGAATTCCCTTAGTGTTTGCTTGTCTGAAGAAAATTTTATTTCTCCTTTGTTTATGAAGTTTAGTTTGGCTGGAAATGGAATTCTTGGTTGAAATTTCTTTTCTTTAAGGCTGCTGAATATAAGCCCCCCAATCTCTTCTGGCTTGTAAGATTTCTGCTGAAAGGTCTGCTGTTAGCCTAATGAGATTCTCTTTGTATATGACCTGCCCCTACTCTTTGATCTGCCTTTAATATTTTTTCTTTCACATTGACTTTGGAGAATCTGATGACTATCTATCTTCAAGATGGACATCTTGTAGTATATTGCTGAGGTTCTGTGAATTTACCAAATTTGCATGTTGACCTTTCTAGTGAGGTTGGGGAAATTTTCCTGGACAATATCCACAAAAACGTTTTCCAAGTTGCTTGCTCTCTCTGTCTTTCTCGAATGTAAATGAGTTGTAGGTTTGGTCTCTTCACATAATCCCTTATTTCCCAGAGGTTTTGTTCATTTTTATTTTTTTTATTTTGTCCAACTGAGTTGATTCAAAGAACTGGTCTTCAAGCTCTGAGATTCTTTCCTCAGATTGGTCTATTCTGCTTTAATACTTCTGACTGTATTATGAAATTCTTGTAGATTTTCACCTCTAGAAGAACAGTTTCTTTCTTAAAATGGCTATTTCATCTTTCAGTTCCTGTATCATTTTATTGGAATCCTTAGATTCCCTGGATTCAGTTTCAACTTTCTCCTAAATCTGGACGACCTTATTTGCCATGCAAATTCTGTATTCTATGCCATAATTTCAGTGATTTCAATCAAGAATCCTTGCTGTCGAGCTCATGTGGTCATTTGGAGGTAAGATGACACTCTCTGGCTTTTTGAATTGCCAGAGTTTTGCACTGGTTCTTTCTCATCTGTGTGAGATGATGTTTCTTTAATCTTTAAAGTTGCTGTCCTTCATATAGGGCTTTTTGCTTTTTATATTCTTTGATGCCCTTGAGGGTTTGACAGTGGTATAAGCTGGGTATAAATTGATTGGCTTCATGTCTGGATGATTGCAGGGGGCCAAGGCTCAGCTTAGCATTCCTAGGCTGTGTGCTCTAACCCTGGGGACCTGGGACCAGGCCCACAGCCTTTTTTCTCTGGCCCCTTGAGGTTAAGCTCCTGCTGTGCTGAAGGGGCTGAGGTGTTCCCAGTCTGCTGGTAACACTCCAATGCAGTCTGCCAGCAAAAGGGCTTCGGCAAGGCAGCAGGGGTCCCTGCACATGTGTGCACCAGTGACAGTGTGGTAGTGAGGTTAGCATGCACACGGCATGTACACATAGTGTTCACTGAGCAATCCTGTGACTCAACCCTACAAAGTTAAAAGCCAGGAGGTTAAGAAAGATGATACAAACAGTAAATTCAGCCATACCTGTTGGTCTTCAAATTTTGACTTCCCTACCCAATCTGCCTGCTGTTGCTTACTTTTCAGAATCCTCAGTTGCATTTTGCATTATTTCCAGAGTTTTGAGTTGTAATCAGTTACAACTCCTACAGAAGCTCTCTGTGAGGATGGATATTCTAACAAAAGAGCTATGGCAGTAGCTGCCGGCAAGTGCCTCAGCTGGGCAACCAAGGCCATGCTGCAAGCAGGTGTGGCCAGGCAGGGACCCTGGGATAGGCCAGCAAATAGGGGGACACTCAGATCAGACAGGCCCCTTCCCATGAGCAAGATATGCTCTGTCCAGGTCTGGCAGCCAAAAAGGCTAAAGCCACCTAGAGGAGTACAGTGGGCCTTGAAGGATGAGCACCCATGACTATGCTCCACTGCAGCCATTCCCACGCCAGACCCCTGGGGATCCATGCAAGCTGGAGTTCTGTCTCTGCCA
Source organism: Homo sapiens (assembly GCF_000001405.40). Lineage (NCBI taxonomy): Eukaryota > Metazoa > Chordata > Mammalia > Primates > Hominidae > Homo > Homo sapiens. The sequence goes on from NC_000012.12 coordinate 40,082,753, forward strand.
GCTCAAATATCCATAGGGGTTATGGGGTCTCCTGCAGTGAAGATACTAGAGGTCTGTAACGAGAGTGGGCCACTCCAAGCCTATTTCACTCGCCCATTCCCCAGGAGCTGCTCAGGGTCAGGAATAAGTCCTGGTGCTCAGCAACTCCATGCAGGGTTTCCTCCCCCACTTCAGCCCGGGGTCTGTATCCTTCTTCTGTCTACTCTCAATACCTTCTTTCTGAAGATCTGTTTGGAGTATGCAGTTCTTCCTGATGGTCTGGTTTCTCAGTGGGAGAAGTTCTTCCTGTCTGCATCTAGTCAGCCATCTTGTTAAATAGCAATTTTCAATAGCTATGTTATTCAGATTACTCAGGAGATAGACTGGGACTGTGTAGTACCTTATGTCACAGTTCTGTACTCAAAACATTTGCTGTGCCCCTTTGGGTCTGAATTGTGCATGTGCTGCTTAGGGGTGAGCTCAGGACTTGTTTCAGCTTATACACAGAAACAGAAGATCCCCTTTTTCAGCTCTCTTCTCCACCACTTCCCTGACCCCTCTGGCCCCTAGGGTCCTCTTTTCCAAATCTGCTATGCATAAAACCAGGATTTTCTCTTAGAACTTAATCCCTTACACTGTTTTTCAGTTCCACATAATTGGGACTGTCCTTGCAGCATACCAGCAAGGGAAACTACAGAGAAAAAATAACTGATTCCCTCCCACACTCTCTAGACCCCAGGGATCCCTTTTCTATTTCCTTTGTACAGAAAGAGGGCTGTATCTCAGCATCCATAGTGCTATACTACTGCCATCACCACTGCAGCACTGCAGGTTTTTAACTGGGCTGGCCTCAAGGCAGGGCAAGGAGAAAAAGGAAAAAAAGGATGGGGAACTCCTCCCATATCTTCTGGCTCACAAGGGTCCCTATTCTGAATCTTCTGACTAGAAGGAGGGGGTTTCTGTTGGGCTTTTCTGCCATTGGTGTTCAATGAGCAGTCCTGGGACTCACCCCTCCAAAGGTAAAAGCCAGGAGATTAAGAAAGAAAAGATGATACAAACAGTAAATTCACTGCCAGTCCAGTAGGTCTTCAAATTTTGACTTCCCTACCCAATCTTCCTGCTGTTGTTTACTTTTCAGAATCCTCAGCTGCATTTTGCATTATTTCCAGAGTTCTTGGTTGTAATCAGTGGAGAGACAGGCTGTGGAAGACTTACCCCATTTCGATCAACACCAGGTATCATTCATTATACTTTAAAATGCATTCACCTTTACTGTACACAGTACCAATACAAGTATAGATTTGGGAGGCAGTAAAAGGCAATATTAGAATAAATGCTCCGAATATCAGATACTGAACCAAAAGCTCTTTAACTGATATATTTGAATGTGTCTAATAAAAGATGAAGTACACATCTGGCAGGGTAACTGCAAATCTATACTAAGATATTGTAAAAAATGATCAAACAGGAAACTCTAGATCTGGCTCATGCTGTGCTTTCTTCTTACAAATACTTCCAACTTCTGCCACCAGGCTCTCAAGTACTTACCTGTGTGTTCTATCCATCAATAGCTATTTTGAAACTGTGTCATTTGGCTTAGAATTGTGTGGTCTATAAAAACACAAAGCCACTTTTTAATGCAACAGTTTTCCATTAAAAAGCACTCTTTCAAAGACTGCACTCTTCAACTTCAGCAAGATGTCTTAAATAACAAGAAACACACAAATAGCCAGCAAGCCAAGCTTACTCACGGGGCTGGCTCAAATAACAAAATTCAACCTAAGTCAGGTCACTGGAAATGAAGAGTTGTCCAGGACTGAGCACCAAATCCAATGGAGCATTCTATTGAAAGTTAAAATGTTTTTAGGGTAAATGTAAAAAATTATACTATAAGGCAGCACTGGGCTTACAGCTTCATTTTTTTTTAAATGAATTCATGTTATGTATTTAGCATTTTGTAAATGTATGAGACTAGGATTGAGGACTCCTCTTAAGGCCTGATGCTCCACTTGCTGTCTGTGATAGTGTGAAATATTTATTAGGTCTTCCACCCTTGTTTCATGGCATACAACTCCTAAAATCCTTAGACTCTGCAAAGTGATGTCTTTTTGTATGCTAGTAAGTTGACAGATGACTGGTAGCCCCTAGGCAGCTTCAGGATAAGGGTTGGTCACTGGAAAAACCAAGGCAGGATTAGATGGTTGGGACCCCCAACCTACAAGGGGAGAGAAGCTGAAGGTTAAGTTGGTAACCAGTCGCCAATGGTTTAATCAATTATGCCTAGGTAATGATATAATTGATTATGACACTTCTTTAAAAGGTGAAAAGGGCTGAGTTCAGAGCACTTCTCGACAGATGAACATATGGAGGTTGACAGGAAGGGAACAAAAACTCATCCATGTACCAACAGTGGAGGACTCCACCTCCACAGGGACAAAATCTCCTGTGCTCAGGACCCTTCCAAGTCTTGCCCTATGTATCTCTTTATCTGTTTGTATCCTTTGAAATAAACCAGTAAACCAAACTGTTTTCTGATTTCTGTGAACCACCCTAGAAAATTAATATAACCCAAAAAAGGTGTTGTAAAAACTCCAACTTGAAGTAGTTGGTTGGTCAAAGTTCCAGAGACCCAAATTTGCAACCGGTGTCTGAAGGCTGTTGGCATTGGGGGTGGTGGCAGGTCTTGAGGACTGTGCCCTCAACCTGTGGAATCAGACGCTATTTCTAGGGTGACAGTGTGAGAACTGAATTAGAGGACATCCAGCTGGTGTCTGCTGCAAAACTGATTGCTTGTTAGTGGGGAGAAATCCCCCACATTTGGTCACAGAAGTCTTTTGTGTTGACTGTTGAGTGAGAGAATTAAAAAATATACTTTTGAGTATGTTTTTATACTCACAGTGTCCATTTCACATTGCAGAAGGGGCCTAAGTAGGTGGCAGATCATGACAGTACTCCTTTTTCTTTCTTATCTGGCCAATGAAATGGCTATGTTAGAAGGAACTTTACATATAACTTGTACTTTACAGAAGAGAAAGCAAGCTCAAGCATTAAGTGACTTATCTAAAATCACATATTTACATAAAAGATTTGAAAGCAGGACCCAGGATTTCCAATTTCACGTCCCGCATTCCTTCTGCTACTCCCATCTTCTTTTTTTTTTTGAGACAGAGTCTCGCTCTGTCACCCAGCCTAGAGTGCAGTGGCACAATCCCAGCTCACTGCAACCTCCACCAAGTAGCTGGGATTAAAGGCACATGCCACCATGCCCAGCTAATTTTTGTATTTTTAGTAGCGACAGGGTTTCACCATATTAGTCAGGCTGGTCTTGAACTCCTGACCTCGTGATCCACCGGCCTCGGCCTCCCAAAGTGCTGGGATTACAGGTGTGAGCCATCGTGCCTGGCCCTCCCTGCTGCCTTCTAAGAAAGAGCAAAATCTGGGAAACTTCTGAAGTGATGGCACCTGGGAGATGCTGAGCAAGGCACCAATCACGGATGCATTGGCAATCAGAATGCAGGTGGCATGGGAGGGTATTTTTTTTTAATCCCACTACTCCCCACCTGATATCACCTCTCTGAATAACCGGTTAATCTGAATACTTTTCATTTTATATACTCATAAAAATAAATAAAAATAAACACCTGTGGCCATGATAAAAGAAAATATGGTCTTTTCCTTTAGTGCCACTTGTTTTTGTAACCAGCTGTTAAGAAAAACACAGCAGTAAATCTGAGAAATGACATGGGCCATCAAACAAGCTACATGTCTATTCTCGCCTATTCTCTAGCTACATGTCTATTTCATCTCTATATATAAGAAATATTTTCCCCCATTGGTTAAATACACCACATGCTTTTTCTTATTACACCAACAGCAGAAGGCAATTCAGACAAGACAGTCTTAAAAGCAAATCAGTTACAAATACGAGAAGAAACAAGACATGCATTGTTGTCTCCTATCCACAAGCTGAATGACAAGGAAGAACTGGGCATTCATAGGCGTCAGGACTAAACTGATAGGTAGTGCGATTATGTGTTGCCTCTAAACCAAGGGCAGATCAGGATTGTTCCCTGGACCTAATACTGCAGTATGTTTCTGGAGAAATCTCCAAATTGTGGGAGACCTGTCAAGCTCATTTTCTCTAATGCAGTTACCAACGGCCAGTCCCAGGACACATATTTTCCTCACCTAATCCCAAGAGGCATAATTAGGTCTTGAGACAGGACATCAAAACCAACTCTACAACCTTACCTCCCAATTGCTTGGTAGCTCTGACAGTGAAAGTGGACAAAATGTACCCAGTCCTCAGATTGATTTCCTCTAATCTCAGGCCGTTTGCTCTGGTTACTGAAGACACAACCACACACATCCTCCTCAATCTTCCATACCTCTCACTACCACCTTTGGCTGTATCTTCCATTCAGAAAGGATCCTTCAAAGTCTTAAAAGCAAGTAATTTTTAAAATAAAGGTAATCACCTATTTGGCTTTCCAAAGGCCCCTGATAATTGAGCTAAGACTCTTGAAGCTACTTTCAAGAGTGTAACTTTAGAGTTTAACATTTTCATAGTACTCACTAAATCTCTTAGTCTTTCTCTCCCTCTCTCCTTTCTCTTCCAGTCTATACCCCTCTGTGTTTCTTCCATTCATCAGTCATGGTCATATTAGTTGTAATACTTTAGAAGTAAATATCAAAACGCTTTAAGCTTTAAATGAAAAAACTGAGTTTTTAAGACCCCTGTGGCTTTCAAATAACCTTTTTCTCCTGGAAGAGTGTTACCTACAATAGAAAAATTTCTACACATTCTTCTGTTCATTCTCCTTCCCAATGCTCCCATTTATGTAACCCACAAGCATTTACTAAATAAATATCTACTATGTGCCAGAGGCTATGATAGATCCTGGGATAAACACAAAAACATGGTCCCTGTCCTTAAGGAACTCTTACCTCATAAGAGACCAGAGTAAGCCAACACTACCAGGAGGTTACATGTACCAGTTAACCTTCTGTACTACTACTTAATACTCATTAAACCACCATGAAGTGGATAAAGCTGAGAAACCTAGGGCTCAGAAGGGGTTAATTTGTACAAATTCATAAAACTCACTAGTATAAATTAAATAATTTGTACTAATTATAAGTACAAATAACTATAATTTATACTGATTATAAGTACAAATAACTATAATTTATACTGATTGTAAGTATAAATATCCTTTTACACTATTCCATTGAGGCAGGTGCATGGTAGATATGTTAAAACTAAAATGAAACAGCAGATAACATTTACTGTATACTACCATGTGCCAGGCACTGTTCCAAGAGTTTCATACAGTTTGTCTTATGATTCTGTGAGACAGGTTTTCTTCAATAACCTGAAAATAAGTTTAATCTATTAAAAGGAGTAAATGGCATAACATTTCTTTAAGACATAAAGCTCAAAAGGGGGACAGGTAAAGACACTAAGTACAAAAGTATAGACAGTTCTCACTCAAAAGAAGAAAAAATTGCTTGGTAGGATCTGAACACTTCCTCAACATCTAAACTGAAAAAGATGATGCAAACACTGTCTAATTAGACCACTTTATTTTAACTGCTCTCTCTAAAACCTCAACATCATATATTAGAAGGAATTACAAGTTAGAAGAAATTGTAGCTGACCAGTCACTCAACTCTTTGTGGGGAGAACTGTCAATTTTTCAAAAGACCTTTTTTTTACTTTTTGAAGCCAGTCATCATAATGGCTACCTTTTGAGGAAAGTAACCATTACCTCAACAGCTGCTGCAGCTCCAAAGCTCTACAGAAGTGGGATTTGGGGGAGTTAGTCTAGCTGTAGAAAAGCTAGGGGTCTTGTCTTGGAGCTGTGTTAATACAGCAAGCACAGTATGTATATTGCATGTTACAGATCAATAAACATGGTAAGACTTTCTAAAAATGCTTTTTATTCACACTTTACTTAAGATTAAGAAACCTCAAAAACACCAAAGTGTGGTAGGGGTGTAGCAGGGGAGACACAAAAGAAGAGACAGGAAGGGGCTGAGACCCTAAGCTCCAGAAGAGGTATGTGATAAAATGAGTGGGATAATAAATTCCTTGGTGAAGTATGTTTTTTAACAACAAAAAAATTGAAGATGAATGTTTATCCTAGCATGGTAAAATGTGTGGTATGAAGGCAGCACCCACTGGTTTTGAGAGTCTATTAGTCTGTGAATATCTGATCTCACTCAATTATAACTAAAGAAATAATTTCTAGTATTCAGAAATTTGAAAATTTACCAAAAATGTGCTTTAAGAGCACAAGATTATTTGCAAGTCAATCACCTCAAGAACACTAAATAATTGGTTTTCTTCAGAGGAATCATGCAAATGGCAGAATGAATCACTGAAAGAGTCAGGAGAGGACTGAGGTGCTTCAGAGGGTGCTAGGGGCATATGGCTTTCAGAGTGGTCATCTCCGTACTTTATAAACTCTCTCTGTAAAAAGAACATAATGTTCTTGATTTCATAACAAAAGACCTAAAATATATCCAAGAAAAGTGAATTTGATAATGTAAAAGTCAGAAGCCAAAAGTAATCAAATAGAATAACTCAGGTGTTGTCAGTGAGCCAACCAACATCTACTGAACTCTCATAGAAGTTACAAAAAAAGAGACACTGTCTTCCTCTTTAGTAATTTGCAATCTTGAGGATCTCAGATGATTTATTCCATTTCAGGGGACAAATTCTCTGGCAGCTTTGATGAAACCATTTCTCAATTGTAATCAATAAAGAAGCTTGAGAATTTTAGAATCAAGCGGGACTAGAGAAGCCCTTCAGTCAGGCTCTGAATACAAGGAAGACTTCTTCATCTCCTCAACAAAGGTCACCCTGCACCTTACACTGACCGCCTCCCTGTATAGACTTTGTAAACTCTCTCCTAGTGTTCTCTGTAAGGAGTCTGTCTCACTGTTGGTCAGCTCTAAGAGTGGATTAACGGCAATAATGCAAATATATTTAAAATGTAAAATATATGGAGATATACATATTATAAATACATTTCCTATGAATTTTAACTTTTCTTAGTTTTTAACAGCATTCCAGTATCTTAAAGTTATTTTTAATATTAGCTCTGTTATCAAGCATAACAGCCATTTAGCTTGCTCTGGGCTCCCTGGATTTGACAAGCACAGAGCTGAAGGACTGAGCGCTTGATTGCACCCCAGTAGAGACCTTCTGGGCCCACTTTTCAACACTGACAAGGCATCCTACTAAACCATGTTTGCTTCTTTTTTTTTATTGGCCAAATTTCAGAGATTAAAGTTTATTTTGCTCACTTATTTTGTTTATTAACACAAAGAAAATGTTCTTCAAATATATTCAATGAAAGAGGAGTATGCCAAATGCTTTATATGCAGAATTTTCCTAATCTACTCACCAAGAAATGGTTTCAAAGGAAAAACAAAAGAGATTAGTTTAATAAGGCATATTTCTAGTGAACACACAAAAGTTCCTAGTAATCATCAGACTCTTTTCTAAATGCTTCCAAATCTTCATTAATAATATTTTATAATTTTGCTAGAAACTAGTCATGTTTATTCATCTTAATTCCTAGAATTCATTCCCTTTTTAACAATTAAGGCACTATTTGCTCATATGGCTTATCTCTGCGTATCTTATCTTCATGACTGCTTAAAAATAAAGAAAAATTTACTGACAGTGGCTTTGAGTTTATGTCTATAAATCATTTTGAGTTAGATTAAGTAGCCAGATGTTCACTTAAAGCAAATAAAAGGTAACTATTAACCATAGCAGCAGCTATCCATAGGCAAAGTTTTAATGCTTATTAATAACTATAATTCTGTATTCTTAATATATATTCATGTTTATTTGAAAATGCATGTCATATTTAGAAACTAAAATTTTGAAAATAATCCAGACTCTAATGATCTCTTGCACAGATGAATAAATAACTGCATAATTACCAAACAAATGTAACAAAGTCATGTGTTTCTTTTGCAACATTCATGATTTCCTTAATCAGGTTATAAACCTTTTTTTAAACAGGGTTCTTACCTCCCCAGCCTCAAGAACTATTCATTCATAATAAATAAAGTCCTTTAGATTTGTCTATTTTATATTATCTATGAAGAAGTAAAAAACTCACTGCCTCAGAATCTTTAGTAAGATATTCTTGGTAAAGATGTGCACATGCAGATACAATCATGCATTGCTTAGCCACAGCGACACATTCTCAGGAATACATTTTGCAAACTTCATAGAGTGTCCTTACACAAACCTAAATGGTACGGCCCACTACATACCTAAGCTATATGCTATAGCCTACTGCTCCTAGGCTACAAACCTGTACAGCATGTTATTGTACTAAATACTGTAGGCAACTGTAACACAATGGTATTTTTGTATAAACATGGCTAAACATAGAAAAGGTACAGTAAAAATGCAGTATTATAATCTTATGGGACCACCATCCTATACGCAGTCATCCTCCACTGAAATGTCATTATGTGGCACATGGCTGAACTTTATGTTGTGTAAAATAAGATCCTTGAATTCCACTTTATGCACTGTAATTTGTACAGTAGGTCAAAAATAGAGTATCCTCATTCACTTGAATGTCATTAGATTCTTTATAATTTACTTATGTTGACACTATTGTTAAAACTTTATTCTACAGGATAAGGAGGAAATCTAAAATTAAAAGCTTATTGCTAGACTTTTTTGCTGTGTTTTTGCAAACTATTATAAAAGCCTGTACTTCAATTAAAGTTGAAATTGGCCAACTACTGGCAACAAAGAATAATGGCATGTCATATATTTGATGCATTAAATTCCCTTTCTTTTTGTACAATCCTAAATTTCAAGGTTCAAATTATGAACTACGAAAATTTCAAAATGTCTTTCTCTCCTTAACCAGAAACTATAAAGGTGAAATGAGGTAACTAACTCATTTGTACTCATACTACCTAATATGCAAATTACAGTCCTACAGAGGTTTTAATTACACATGTGCCAGGAAAACTTAATTCAGGACAGTCTGGTTTTGTTCACCAATCCAAAATATGTTGATGTCTGTCTCCAACAGAGATAAAATGGGAAGAAAAATTCACATTAATTACTACAATAATGGCTAATGTTTTCTGAGCATGTGCTAATAAGCAGCAGGAATTACGTTTAACTTTTAACAGAAAATAGTTTATCAATTAATCCATACAATAACTCTATGAATTAGGTTTTTGTGAAACCTGACTTGCCAGCTCCAGGTAGACCTCATCAACCTTCCTCTGCACGACTGTGTCTTACATATTTTTCTATTACTGTCTGTATTAATGACATATGAGTATCACTATGGGCAGTAATAGAGGTGTCATAGAGAGAGGTATAATAAGGTCTGTCTGGGGTGGCAAGAATGGTTTCACAAGTATAGAGGGTTTATGGGGTAAGATTAAAAACTAGAACAGTAAACCAGGAAATGTGGCTCAAGCCAAGTCTTCACAGCATAATTTAATTATTTTGTTGGACAATGTAACTTTCCACATTTATTTGAAGCACTCATATTCAAATATAAGCTTAAAATGCAATATTAAGACCAGTGTTTTAATTATCACAATTTGGACTGGTGAGAGTGCCACTCCATTTGCTATGAAGAGTTGCAGATTGGCTTCACTTGAAACGTAACCCCATCCAGAATTAAATCTGGATGATTTAAAAGGATCAGATCAACCTCAAGATTATGGTACTTATTTTTTAAATTCCACATATGTAATACCATCTTTAGAAATTTATCACATCATTATACACTTACACATGTTTTTTGTCCCCTAAATTTATAATCAGACCATAATGAAAAATAAAATGTGTCTTATTTTTTGAATCCCAAGCCACAATGTGCCTGGCCCAATACAGATGCTCAATAGCTACCTAGTGAAATGTATTATAGAATCTGAAACGTGGATTGGCTGCTAAGAAGAGAATAAGAGGAGATTTCAACTTCCGTATCTCCATTCTCCAGGAGAAAGACTCACTAAAGTTTGAAAACTTGAGTCATCAGACAGAAGATGTGAAGGTCAGAGAAAACTGATCAAGCCTCTTTACAGTCTGGGTGAACTACGACTCCAATGCCTTTCCACTCCTGCTTTAATTCCAGGTTCAAACACGAAGATGCAAGTCTGTGAATCAGTAATCCCTCTTCCCACAAATCTGTCTGCCAGGAAAGAGAGGAGACATTAGAGCATTATTAACATGTGGAATAGATATATCCCACGTAATAAGTTTGCATTTCTGTTGATTCCACTGTCACATCTAAGTGTAATTACTCCAAGTTCATCCTTGAGAGTCTGTCAGATCATTTTTCAGACACAAATCAACTTTTGTTTGTTTAGGTTCCCTAGATACATGGAGAGACTCATTTCATTGCAGGTACTGAAAACAATGTTAGACTTCAAAGTATTAATTGAAGTTAAAAATAATACCTATTTTCTCCCAACCACTTTAAAAAGTTTGAAACCATAGAGTAGTGTCAGAAGCAACCCTAGAGAACATTTAATTACTTCCATCCACTACACAAATTTCCTACAACATCCTTGATCCAATCTCAGCTCAAAATTATTCCTTAGGATTATACTGTTTTAGTTGTTATCTATAGATTAAATATTTACTAGATGCCTGCTGTGTACCAGGCACTACACTATTCAATGGTGGAACAGCAATAAACAAAACAGAAAAATTAAAATCTGCCTTCATGGAGATTACACTCTAGTGGAGAGAAAACAATCAGTAAGTAACACAACCATTAAGTGTTTTGGCTAGTGGAAACTGCTATAGAGAAAAATAAAGCAGGGAAAACTGGTGGTGGGAGCTGCAACTTTAAGCCGAATGATCAAGGAAGACCCCGCTAAGAAGAGATGCTTGAGGAAACACAAGAGAGAAAGGGAAAGAGTGCTCCAGGAATCTGGACAGAGGCTTCCCAGCAGAGGAAACCGCCCATAAAAAGGCCTGGAAGGATGTCTATTGTGTTCCTAGAGGCGGGGTCAGCTGGAAAAGGAGGGAAGGAAAAGCAGTAGGAAATCAAGTCAAAGAAGAAGTGGGGATGGGGAAAGATCCCATGGGGTGCTGCAGACCACTAGCTTTTACTCTGAGGTGGGGAGCTAATCAGGGGCTTTGGGCAGAGAAGTGGCATAGTCTGATTTATATTTTAAATGAATCATTCTGGCTCTCATGTGTATAAAAAGAAAGCAGAGGGGTCAAGAAAAAGGCAGGGTGAACACGTAGCAGACTCTTGAAATACTCCAAGTGAGAGATGGGTGGCATTTGGGATCAGGGTGATTGTAGTGGAAGTGATAAGAAACAGATTTCAGTTATAATTAGGGCCTAGATTCAAAGGATTTCCTAGCCGACTGGATAAGGGGCACATGAGGTAGTCAAGGACAACTCCAAGGCTTTTGGTGCAAGCCCCAGGAGGAATGCTCTGACCTGCTAAGCAGGAGATGGTGGACAAAACAGGGAAGTCGGGTGCAAGCATCTGGAGATCAGGAGACAGGTCTGGGCTGAAATCTAGATTTGGGAGTTCTCTGCAACACAGAAGGTATTCCAAGCCATGAGACAAGATGAGATCCCCAAAGGAGTAAATGTAGAGAAGAGGAGAGCTCTGAGGCTGGCCCAAATTAAGAGGTCTGGGAGATGAAGAGGAATCTGCAAAGGAGATGGGGGAAAGAGCAGCCTACAGAAAAAGCTGGGAGAATATGGTGTCCAAAAGCCAAAGAAAATGGCCCATAAAGACATGATTTACTTGTGTCAAATGCCTTTGGTAGGACAAGTAGGACTGAAGACAGTCCTTGCACTGACCAACACAGAGGGCACAGTAAAGTTGACAAGAGCAATGCCAGTGGAGTGGTAAGGATGAGAGCCTGTCTGGATAGGGTTCAGAAAAAAAGGGAAGAGAGGAACTACAGAGAAGGAATATAGGCAACTGTTTTATGTAAAATAAAGGAGACAAATAGGATAGTAACTGAAAGATAAAGTGGGGCAGAAACAGAAATTTTTAAGACTGCAAAAATTACAGCATGTGTCCATGCTTATGGGAATAACCCAGTAGAAGAAGAAATTTTATGAGACAAAAGAGAAAGAGCTGGAATGACAGCTTTGAATAGGAGACAGGGAGAGGCCTTAGCCAGTTCATCTATAGAAACAGGAAGAAGACGCATCTGTGCAAGGCCCAGGCAGGAACAGCTGAGGAAACCCAAAAGAGAGGAGGGAGTGTGGAATGGGAGCCCATAGAAGCTCTCATTCTCAGCCATAAAGTAAGCAAGACACTTTCCTGAGATACATACAATAGTAAGATCCCAGAAATGTACTTCATGTATCATGACCCCTTGCTAATTCATGCAATGAGTTAAAAATCTGGGGGAAAAAATACACCCACACCACTATTATACGATTAGATTGCAACATTTTTGTCATTATTTCCTAAAAATGTCCTTCCATAGAATAAGAAGTAAAATCTAATTTGGAAAAAAGTATCTTGCCACAGTGTTTTGTTATGTGTGTGTCTGTGCCTTTTAAAACAAAAATCTGCGTGAAGTAAAATAATGATCTAAAGGGAAGAGTAAAAAAACAAAATGTAAAAAAGGCCCTGTGCTATATGTAAACTAAACATACACCTTTATTCCTTCTTCCAAACTCTATGTCCAGCTGTAATTTTTTAGGTAGTTGCAATCAATAGGTCCATACAAGTAGGTTCTATTCTTTGGGCTTAATATTTGCAGGATATGTGTATCTAAGGTCTACACATTTTTGTGTTTAATGTCAATGTGATGTGGTCTAACTAATCATTTCCCAATTACTAGGCACTTGGAGGTTCCTCCTAGCTTTTTAAAATTACATATTGCATATCTATAAATACTTTTAAACAAAATGAGTTTTTCTTTATTTCCTTATATTACAATCCCTCAAGTGAAATTTCCAGATCAAAGAATTATTAGCAACTTTACAAATGAACTGCAAGAGCACAGTATATAATACATATTAGTAATTCAAAATAAACTTGTTGAATGAAGAAAAATGAATGAAGCATGTTAAACATGTCAGCTTTTTATCTAGAATATTCTCTATAGAAAATTATTGCAATTTATTTTACAAGCAGAAAATCATATTTTCCTAGGGAACAACTTAGCCTGAGTTTTGCTTAGTTTTTTGGGGTTTTTCTGTTTGTTTGTTTTTTTCTTGAGACGGAGTCTCGCTCTGTCGCCCAGGCTGGAGTGCAGTGGCACGATCTCAGCTCACTGCAAGCTCCACCTCCCAAGTTCATGCCATTCTCCTGCCTCAGCCTCCTGAGTAGCCCGCCACCACGCCTGGCTAATTTTTTTTTTTTTTTGTACTTTTTAGTAGAGATGGGGTTTCACCATGTTAGCCAGGATGGTCTCGATCTCCTGACCTCATAATCCACCCGCCTCAGCCTCCCAAAGTGCTGGGATTACAGGCATGAGCCACCGCACCCGGCCAGCCCTGAGTTTTTAATTTGCTAATTTAGTAAGTATCGTGTTCTTTTAATTTTCACCTGTAATTAGTAACAAGGTTTAACACTTTCCCAAGAGTCTATTTACTAACTGTATTTTTCTTGTTGTATACAGTCTATTCAGTATAATTTGAGGATAAATATATTTTCTTTTAAGTAAATAAATTTACCATAATATTTTTCCAATCTGTTGCCTTGCTTTTAAAATCTCTGCTTTGAGGTTTTAAAAATTATAATAAAAGATGTCATCAATATAGATAAGAAAAAAAACAAAAAAAATTAGAGACTCTTAAACCAATATACTAGAGAAGATGAGACCTAAATTTCATTTACATTATTTTAAATTCATATTCCTATTTCCTCTTCTCAGTTACTTCGTTCTTTTCCCTCTTATTTGCTCAATACTAAACTCTTCCAAACAGTTGGATCTATCACTGGAATTCTGATTCTGTTCCATTCATCCTATACTGGTTTTAATAATATATACAGTATACCCTATACATTATATATATATTATTTCTTTGCATTAATTTCTTCTGTCTATAACTACTGTCTTACTACTGTTCCCTCAATCTGATTACAATCATTTTGTGAAATTCTAGAAAGTATCATCTTGGGATTTTCATTGCTAGCACATTAAATACTAATACTAATTTACGAAACATTATAGTGACCATATTTCGCTTTCACAATCAAAAACTGGATTTATCATATAATAGAAAGGTGGGGTGCACACTGGTTCTTGATCAGATTTAAATCTCAGCACTGTTACTAACAGTGCTAATTTCCCTAATTTCTCTACACTTCCTTTAATTCATACTTAAACTAAGGAAAATACCAATGTTCCTACTTACTGAGGTGAATGCAAACATATACACCTATAGGCATAAAGAATGAGCTTTGTTTTAGAGCCTACTTTTTATAATGCCTCTGTTAAGCTGCTAAAAAGCATTATATCAAAGGAAATGAAGATAATATATTTTCACAAAGAATGTATTCTAGGGAACAAAATGACATACTCCTAGAAGTAAAATCTAGTATTTTATTAGAACTTCCAAAAAGCTTACTCTCAAGGGGCATGACAAATGACTCCAACAGTTTTAGTTTTGTGTGTGTTTAGCAAAAACAAATAGGACTACATCAAACTTAAAAACTGTACATCAAAAGACACAATAAACAGTGAAAAAGCAACCAATGGAATGAAAGAAAACATTTGCAAATCATATATCTGATAGGGGGTTAATATTCAGAATACATAAGGAACTTCTACAACTCAATAGCAACTGCAATAAACCAATTAAAAATAGGTCAGGGACGTGAAAATGCAATAAACAATTTTCCAAAGAAGATATACAAATGTACAAGTGGCCAACAAGCCTATGAAAAAATGTTCCACATCACTAATCATAAGAGAAATGTAAATCCAAACCACCATATCACTTCATATCCATTAGGATGGCCACTGTCAAAAGAAAAGAAAACAACAAATATTGGTGGGAATATTGAGAAATTGGAACCCTGTATACTGCTGGTAGCAATGTAAAATGCAGCCACTATGGAAAATGGGATAGAAGTTCCTCAAAAAATTAGAAATAGAACTACTACATGGTCCAGCAATCTCAATTCTGGGTATATATCCAAAATAATTCAAAGAAGGACCTCAAAGAGATGTATGCACTCCCATCTTCATTGCAGCATTATCCACAACAGCCAAGAGGGAGAGGCAACTCAAAGGTCCATCAACAGACGAATGGATAGATTAAATGCCCTATATATGTGTATATGTATGTATATATGTATATATGTGTATATATGTATATATGTGTATATATATGTATATATGCATATATGTGTATTTATTTTTATATGTGTGTGTATATATAGGTGTGTATATATATACACACACATATACACAATGGAATATTATGCAGCCTTTAAAAAGAGGGAAACTCTATCATATGCTACACCATGATGAACCTCAAGTGAAGTAAGCCAACAAAGGACAAATACTGCATGATTCCACTTACGTGAAGTATCCAAAGCAGTAAAAATCATAGAAACAGAAGGTAGAAAGGTGGGTTGCCAAGGGATAGGGAAGAGAGGCTGGGGAATTTGTGTTTAATAGACACAGTGTTTCAGTTTTGCAAGATGAAAATGTTCTAGAGATGTGTTGTGCAACAATGTGAATATACCTAACAATACTGAACTGTACACCTTAAAATGGGTTAAGAGTATAAATGTTATGTGTTCTTTACCACAATAAAAAAATAAATCTATACTAAAACAAACAAAAGTAATGTCCACATGACATATCATGGTAAAGAACAATTATGCTAGTTTCAGGGAGGAGTGAGTGAGTGAGTGAGTGTCACAGACTGGTTGAGCACAGGCTGGGAAGCCAGACCTCTTGGGTTTGAACTCTGGCCCCACCCAGTAGCTTTGTGATCATGAGAAAGTTACTTCAACTCTTTCTGCCTAAATATCCTTATCTTAAAATAAAGGTAACCGTATTATCCCCCTGGGTTATTATGAAGACTATGTGAATTAGCCATGTGCAAAATGTTTAGAAGTTAAGCATTCAACAAGTCTTAAGTACTACGTCCAGGGTGTTGGCCGCTAAGCTGATGGCCAATCCACACCCTGCCAAGAGGATGGACTGCCTAGACTCCTCCCAGTGCAGCGGCAGGGTGGCGCTAAAATCAGAAGAACACTGGTGCCATTGCTCGCTGGTGACCAGCTGTCACGGTGCTTGGCCCTGCTGTGAAACGATGCTCCTGCCACGTGGCCTTGGACACATGCTGCAGACCGCACCATTTCAAATGGTGGCCTTTAATAAAAGGCCTAACTAGAAAGCATGTAGTACTCTCAACTTGAGTTTAGAAGTACCCGTAAAACTTTTTTCTCTCTTTCTACAACCAGAGAAATTAAATTTTACATGTGGGAAAAGTTTGAGGTTTTTCTGGTGAGTATGAATTTTCCTCCTGACAATGGAAGTTTTGATACTATTAGAAATAGGTGCTATAAGAAGTGTTGCTACTATTTATTACTCTGATGGGTCACAGGAAAAAGAAAGGTAAAGAAATGGAAAAAGGTGTAGACAAGAAAGATGTACAAAGGAGCCAAGTACAATATGAGAAAAAGAAAATTAGACTCAGGTGATTTTGGGTAAAGATGGCAACGACTGCTTGCTATTTCAGTTCTCTTAGCAGTTTCTACATCATTAAAGGTGTTCAAAAAGATGTTAGTGTGAAGTCAGTTAACTTTGAGTGTGTTCTTACTTTAAGTTTATAATCCATAAGAGGGCAAAATGGATGAATGAAAAAGCACAATGTTTTCCAAGGAAGTCACGTGAACAATTTCACATAACTCACGTTAACAGACTTACGTTATCTTACTGACAACTCACTTGAAGAGGGTGTTGCTATACTACTAGGCAAACACAACTAGATCATAATCCTCACTATAACTGCAGTGTCAGTCCCTAGGCTGCCAGACAGAAAAGGGGAGGGAACAAAGCTGTTAATGTGTATAAAACAAGGAAATACAAGAAGTCAAAGGAGGCTTTATGTGTCAGTTTCACACCAGTAGGAAGCATAAATCCAATACAGAATTCCTGCCTTCAAAAACAACCAAAAAGAAAGAAAGTGGGGAGTAGTGGAAAAAAAAAAAATTTGAGCACCTCCCCCCAAAACTGTATTTTAGCTGATTAACTATTTGAAAATTAGGAGCTTCTGCCCAACTATGCTTACCTTAAATGACATTCTTTGTTGACATTGATCTCAACATTGCATTTTTTTGATCAAACAAGATTTTACATTTCATTTGCACTGAGGAAGAATTCAAAGTGCTGTTTGAAAAAAAATGTGGTATTTTTAAAAGTATTACTCAACAGGCCATAATATACTAATTACAAGCTGCAATTTACAGCTACAAATTGTGTTCAAGTAGAGGGAGTCCGGAAAGAGGCTGACACAGGAGAAACTGATGTAAATCTAAGATTAATTCAACGAATCCCGTGCTGTATAAATTAGTATGTCAATTCTCAGGAAAGGTTTTGAATACTGGTGACTATCAAATTTAGAGATTTCTTGATATTCCCTACACAGGCCCTAAATCACCACTTATAATAAGCAGTAGAATAAATGCCAACACCAGGGAGAAAGGGCTAATGGGTATGCTTTTTCACTGACTGTGTACATGCTAATAGTGTTAACAGTACTATGCTCTTGTACTTTGTGTTTTCTAGACAATTTCTTTTGTGTTATGCATGGGAGATACACAATGATAGAAAATAAATAAAGCAAATGAGCAAACTCATATTCTTCAATCCTGTTGTAACTAACCACACTTCAAAACCTTGATTATAGGTACAATACTGCTAAACAAACACCTGAAAATGGGATTGTGTGTAAAGAACATACAAAATAAGATTAACCCTGGGCCGGGCATGGTGGCTCACACCTGTAATCCCAGCACTTTGGAAGGCCGAAGCAGGCAGATCACCTGAGATCAGGAGTTCGAGACCAGCTTGGCCAACATGGTGAAACCCTGTCTCTACCAAAAATACAAAAATTAGCTGGGTGTGGTGGGCAGGCGCCTGTAATCCCAGCTACTCAGGAGGCTGAGGCAGGAGAATCGCTTGAACCTGGGAGGTGGGGGTTGCAGTGAGCCGAGATCTCGCCACCGTGCTCCAGCCTGGGCGACAAGAGTGAAGTTCCATCTCAGACAAAAAAAAAAAAAAAAAAAAAGATTAACCCTGTTAGAATACAATCATTTCTGGGATGGAAAACGTATGTCCTATTTGAAATTCGACTTTTCACGTTTAAAAAGTTCAGATGGTCATGGTAGCAGGCAGCGACAATGGAGAAAGTCTAGTGTCAGGACTCAAGTGGAAGAGAAAAATAAACTAGAGGAACCAAAGATGACTCTGGTGAACCAATAAAAAAAAAAGAAAAGAAAACCCAAAATAATGCCATATTTAAAACAGGCACGCAGTATTTTTTTTACAACCAGTCAAGAAAACAGAACCCTTAAATCAAAACAAATACACATATCCCTGACTTCTGATACTTAAGGTCTTTTACTATACAATTCATTTAATACCCATTAATAACTACACTCTACTCCTTGCTATCTTCGCCTTTGTCAAAGGTTTCTACTGAAGGGTCCACTGACTCCTTCCATATCAGTAATTCACGGTCACATGCTATGCTTTACCCATCCTGTAGTAGCCATCTCAGCAAATGATTGCTAATACCCAAAATTTCAAAGACATGAGAAGACTTAAGAAAGAAGGTAAAAGAGCTTAAAAGTATAATGGGAAAACAAAAACCCTCACATCTCAGATTCAAGAGATGTTAAATCTGATTACATTATTTACTGTTAAAAACCTCTAAAAGCTCTCCAAATAAACCATATTCAGCCTAATCCCCCCAAAACATTCCAGTCTCATGACCACCTCATCACCACCCTCACTCATCTATGCTTCAAATACTAATTTGATTTTTCTGTGCCTTTACACCAGCTATTAACTCCACCTTAAATGCCCAGTAGGGTAACAGAGCAAAAGACTCAAGGTTGTTTGTTTTTTTTTTTTAATCCTGTCTCTGTAATCAGTGACCTTGCCATTTAACTGTTTCCACACCCAACAAAAGGAGACCCATTCCTCAGACTCAGGAAGATTAAATGAGGTAATATGTGTAAAGTACTCCACCAGGTCTCGAACATACTAAAGCACTAAATAAGCACTTTTCTGGCTACATCTACATCATCTGCTGAACACCTACTCACTCTTCAAACCCTACTTTGAATATCCCACTGTAGAACTTTCCTCAATCCTGTGTTCTATTTTTTTCCCTGAAAGAATCAACTGACCACTTACTCTTCTGTGTGTCATCTGGCACTACAGAGAAATGTCTCTTTTAATTGCTTGTTTATGTATCTTTCTACTCCATTATAAAATGAACACCTCCAGGGTGGGATTTTTATCTAATTACTGCCTGCCCCATATCTGACAGGATCCATAATGGAAGCTTAATTAGCAAGTGTTGAATAGATAATGATTTCATTAAACTATTACAACCAAAACCTTTAGATGCCCTTTCAAATATTTTGATAATGCACTATTTTTGTGGTTTGAAAAGAACAATCCTACCTTAAAGTGCTACCCGACCAGCAATGGAATTTGGATTTTTTTTTTTCGTTTTTGCTCACCATTCATTTATTCAACAAGTATCTCCTATGTGGCAGGAATATATCAGTGAACAAAATGAGCAGAAATCCTTGACCCACATGGGCCGTATATTTTACCACAGGTAAACGTGTGGAGGAAAGAAGTTCTTAGAGCAAACTTGTCTGAAAAAGGTATCAAAAGCCACATTTTGTTATTCATCAACATTTCCTAAATATCATAAGGACAAAACAACAAATCCCTGACTACACATAAAATTTAACTACTTAAAAAACAATGGCATAAAATTAACCCAGATTGTGTACCAAACAAGCAAACTGATTTAATGTCCCTCAAAAAATGCTCATGTTAGGAACCCATTTCCTTGTAGCTTAAAAAAAAGTGATTTTCTTTGTAAGTTTTAATGATTTTATGTGTATAATTACATGCTTTGCATAGATCCTAATTTTAATCCTAATTTGAAGTGGATTTATTTCATTACTGTTTTGTTTTGAATGCGGCCTATTTCAAAGCCTGTTTATGATCTTAAAACATTCTTCATTTTGTAAATGAAGAGGGCTTTTACGAAACTGCCTCAGGGCTTCTATTCTGAGAGGTATGTTTCTGGAAGTGAGATGGGCCACACCAGAACTGAATGGAGAACATATCTAAACTGGGCTTCTCTATTGAACCAACCAGCCCAGAGACCACAGAATGAGGCTGCAAGACAGAGAGGCCTCCACAGCTCTTGCACACCAACACTTCCAATCTGATCTCCTGCTTTGTCCTCTATTGCTGCTTCCACCTATTCCCCAAGTATGCCCTATGCTTTCCTTCCTTTACCCATTTTGCCCCTTGCTTAGAACGTCCTTTCCTCGTTTCTGTTAAAATACTGACATGTCAACATACCATTTCCATTGGTAAGAGCTTCTGGCTTCCCTCTGTTGGAGATAACTGTACCCCCTCTGAATTCATCAGCCATCTCTGATAACCTATCTTATAAAGCTTAGCAAGTTCTACGTTGCTTTTGCCCCAGCTTGCTACATTTACTAAAGTATAATACATTCTCCTCACTATTCAGCTCACAACATCTGGAAGGGGACCTTACACAGAACAGGGCTCAATTCGCAGGTCAGATAAAAAGAGTAAACATAATACCCAAGATTTTAACCAATACCTGCCATAGCAAAACACTAGGAAGCTTCATTTAGACAGCTCTGCAAAGCATGATTCAATTTCAAAATTACAGAAAAGATTGAGGTTGACAGAACAATTCTTGCTACCTAAAATGATGTTATTTCTATGTCAGAAGCAACAAAAAAGGTCCAGATGTCCCAAGCAGACAATGCTGAGAAAAGAATCGTGGTCACTTAAACAGCAGGTTATTTGTTGAAGGGTCCTGAAGGCCCAAGTAGTTTCCACACAAATAGGTTTCATTTCAGCTGGATTTTTTGGTCACTTTGGATATTTTTGTGCCAACTTAATATGTTACGGAGAGCTTTGCCCTACCTTTGCTAATTAACAGTACAATAAACAGCAAAAGGAAGGTCACTACTGACAAACTTTGAATATAAAGTGCAGTGAGCTGGGTTTTAGGCTCATGGTTCCCGCATGTGGAGTTGAATATATGGCCTTTGCTTCCCTTCAGAACCCACAGAGAAAGGGTGAAAAGCACAAACATCAAACAAGTGGTGAATACACAGATCAGCAGCAGCCCCAGGTTTAAAGCGCTTTCATCAAGCCCCAGCCATAGGGAAGAAATACTTCAACAGCACCCTAAGGGAAACAAAAAACTGAATTATGAAACGAAACATTAAAAAAGCATCAGCGGTGTGTCTTAGAAAAATTACTAGTGAGATTTAAGTCACAGCCCCCCACTTTCCCTCAAAAGTGCTTTCTAATAATACAGAGCACATTCCAAATAGCTTCCCTCTGCCAAAAACTTGCCAATTGTACCTCCCCTGCTCAGCAACCAGGGTGAAAAAAATTCAACGCCAGGAGAACCTTAATGCCTTCATTTTTGAAGTAAATTCCAAACATTTATCTTGCGGGGCATTTATCCACAGGGGGAGTAGCTCCTAAATGAATTAAGGAAGTGAATATGACCTTTAATAGATAATTTGGTTCCCAACTGGAAAGCAGGAGAGGAAAAACAAAGAGGAGAATGGATAAAAAAGGATTCAAATGAAAAAGTTGGAAAAACAGAGGAGAATGGAATTTACTTGGGAAAAGAATGAAAGCTGAAAGGCAATAGAAAAAGCATAAAAGCAAAAGGAGATGCCATCTAAAGACAAATGCTAGATAAGCAAAGAGGGCAGGGGTCGCTAATAAACCTTTCAGAGTCCAGAATTACTTAACTCTAAATATTATCTCACTGTAACTTGACGATGGTCTAGGTTCCAGGCTGGGAGCCCCAGAAAACGAAAGGGGCTAGCAGTGGAGAGGCAAGGTGGGACAGTGCAGGAAAGCAGAGACCCTCGTAAGCTCAAGAAGCAGCATCAGGTTAGGCTGGATCAAGGAAAGAGCTGGTGCTCAGCTAGGTTTCTGGAAGTGCTGAGAGGCAACAACCACTTGGACTGACTGGTCCGTGGCCTATCAAAGATTCCACGTGCGCTCGAGGGAGACTAGAGTGACACCCCCTCCCCCCCGACCCTCCCACCTCCCGGGAGAGCCTTGGAGGCTGGACCAACAAACAGATGGGCTCTGGAGGCCAGAGAAGTGGAGGATTCTCTGACCCTGGGAGACCAGACGGGGACCCCGATGGGCAAGAGGCACGCAACACCCAGGGTCAAGGGCGGTGACAATGGGATCCCGGGCGCCCTTCACGGAGCCCGAACTCACCGATGCCGAGTCCCACGACCAGGCGGCCGGCGAGCAGTGTCTCCTTGTTGTTGGCCGCAGCCAGCACCGCGGAGCCGGCGGTGAAGAGGGCACTGGCCAGGAGGATGGCAGCGCGGCGGCCGAAGACGCCGTTGAGGGCGCCTCCGGCCAGCGCCGAGACGGCAGCCGCCCCCACCGTGCTGGACACCAGCAGCTCCTGCCACAGCGCGTCCAGACTGAGCTGCCGCTTGAGCAGCAGCATGGCCCCTGACACCACCCCGGTGTCATAGCCAAACAGGAAGCCGCCCAGCGCGGAGAAGACGGCCACCACGTACACGAAGGCGGGGGTCTCGTCCTGCTGGAACTGCCGCCGCGCCGCGCGCTCCAGGTCCCCGACGCCGCCGCCGCCCGCGCCCGCGCTCTGCAGGCTGGTGCTCGATTCGGCGGCAGCCAGGAGGCTGCACTCCCCGGCCGCGCTCGCCGCGTCCGGCTCCGGCTGCTTCCTGCGCCGCTCGCCCATCAGGCTGCTCAGGCTCCGCAGCGTGTACTCCACATTCTCGCTTGCCTTGCGGGACATAGGGCAGGGGCCCGGGGCTGCCCGGGGGGACGCGGCTCCGCGGGCCGGCAGTCTCGGCGAGCTAGACAGCCCGAGCCGGCGGGAGCAACCGCCGCTGCCGCCGCTTTCTTCCTCCCGGCTTCCGCTCCGGCTGCCACGGCAGCAGCCGCCGCCACGGCCGCTCCGGGGAGAAAGTTGCTGCCCGCCGCGCTCCGACGCTGCGGAGTTGGAGCCCGGCGGGTCTCACTCCACACTCACGCCCCGCGCCTGCCGAGCTGGCGCTGCGGAGCGGGCGGGAGGCGGGACCGCGGGTCACGTGCAACCCCGGGCCGGCGGGGCGGGGCCCGGGAAACGTCCCGCCCCCTCCTTGGGCGGGGCCAGGCTCAGCCCGCCCCGGACCCCTAAACCCCGCCCTCCCGGTGGGTGCGACCTCTGACCTAGGCTCCCTCATTTAGGGCTCTGGCAACCGTATGGAATTAACCCTGCCTTCCGAGCTGCAGCGGTGGAGCAAGCCAATGTGGCGATGCCATCAGGCAACAGGCTTCCAGACGGGAAGCCACCCAGAATGTTTGCCGTGTTTGGAGAGGAGGGAGAGAGCACCTAAACCAGCCTCACTGTCCTTCCAGCAGCCTAGAGAGAGGGCTGGAAAAAATATCCTAGAATAGGACCTAGCAAGTACCCTTCCTTTTATAGTATTGTGACATTACCCAGCGTGGTCTACTTCCCTGGCATTAAATGTGTTTGTTCTGGAGCAATTCAGGGCTGCATGCTCCCATTTCTATAGCTAGTTTCCACTCTCATCGCCAGTCCCTCCTCAATTTATGCTTATTTTAAAGGAATGGTACATTTGATTCTTTGAGGACAGAGAACATATCTCTGTGGTGAATCCCAAACCCTCCTTCCATGGATCCCCGACCTGTAAAAGAAAATTCACATATATGCATTCCACTCATGTAACGGGTAATTCCCAGAAATAGAAAGAAAACTCAAGACCCTGATTTGTGATTCGGCAGGCAGTCTCCATTTCCCCGCCCCAACATGCTAACCAAAAGGTAGGATAGCTTCTCTCCTGAGAATCCCCACTGTTGCCCTCCATGAGGCACTGTTTTAACAGCCTCATTTACTTGAAACAAAGCAAAGATAACGTTATTTGCAACCAATTTTTTAAACTGTTGAGTGAATTAACAGTTGTTGGTTCATTTGGGGTTTGTTTCCCCCTTTAATTTAAATGTTTTTAAAATATACAGTTGCGCATCAGGGGCTAAAGATAGTTTGTTTTGTTTTGTTTTGTTTTTGAGACAGATTCTCGCTCTGTCGCCCAGGCTGGAGTGCAGTGGCGCTATCTCGGCACACTGCAGCCTCCGCCTCCCAGGTTCAAGCGATTCTCCTGCCTCAGCCTTCCTAGCAGCTGGGACTGCTAAAGATGTTTTGTGCCTCTAATTTGCTTTCATTCTTCAGGCTGAGGGCAAAAAGTCAAGCATCATATGATTCTATTCCTACAATTCCACTGCTCTTTTATTTCCCTTATTTGAGCAAAAGCTTTCTTAGCCTGGGGCCTATTTTTCATGCAGCTATAACTTTTTTCCTTTCAGACAAAAGGATTTTGTCATTCCTGTTTCAGTAAAAACTTATATTAGAATTTGTCAAAACTGCTTTCGTTTTGATTATCAGTCACGATTATCTCTACAATATAGTACTTTCCTTGCCAGCAACAAGGAAAAATAAACTAATGAAGCCAGACGGCTTAACTATTTAAATGTTATCGTCTGGCTTTAAAGCAAGGCTCTACCGTCATTCCCAGGCATCAGTTAAACAGAGAGAGCCTTTAGATCTGCAGCAATGAACTCTTTAATATTCAGACCTCGGACAATATTGCAGGTGAGAGCGCGCCTTTTCCGCGGCATGCTACGGTATAGTAAAACTGCGCCCCCTGGTGGTGAGCCAATTCCCACGGCTTCTGAAGAGAAGGGCTCCGCAGATGAGAAGCATCTGGTTCTTTGACAGTTCCCTCTTGCTGAGATGAAAATAAACTACTTTTTGTCTCAGCTGGTGCAGTGAACATCTTGGTTCCTGAGCATTCCTTGCTTGAAATTCAGCTTTGGGGTCATAGAACAAGAAACTACTTTAAAAATTCTGTTCCGTATTAGGACAGTTATGTATCTGCGGTCAGGTTACATTTTAAAAGAAATGTGACGTGAAAAAAAAGGCATCGGAGGCCGGGCGCGGTGGCTCACGCCTGTAATCACAGCACTTTGGGAGGCTGAGGCGGGTGGATTACGGGGTCAGGAGTTCAAGACCAGCCTGGCCAACGTGGTGAAACCCTGTCTCTACTAAAAATACAAAAGTTAGCCGGGCATGGCGGCACGCGTCTGTAATCCCAGCAACTCGGGAGGCTGAGGCAGAGTATTGCTTGAACCCAGGAGGCGGAGGTTGCAGTGAGCCGAGATCGTGCCACTGCAATCCAGCCTGGGCGACAGAGCGAGATTCCATCTCAAAAAAAAAAAAAAAGCTTCGGAGAGTTAAACAGAATTCGTCTCAGCCTTGAGAGGGAGTCCAGTTCAACTTAGCATCAGCGCGTGAGTCTAATATGGAGTTCCCCAAAGTCGGCCCCAGCTGCGGTTTATGATGAACTGGAAAACCCATGGGCTGAGAATCAAAAGAGATGAATGTCAACACCACCATTGTTTTACCGTAAAACTTTCCACAAACCACAAGATTAGCTTGTGCTTTGCTTTTTTTTTTTTTCTCTCATTTGAAGAGCAGATAATGGTGCAGCAACTACTCATTGACGAGAGTGTTAAAGGGTATTTTTGAAATATAATTAATTGCTATTGCAGGGCAAATTTAATTACAAGAGTCATTATTGGTTTGCAGTGAGTTCTATAGTTCCAGCTTTGAGGATATTTGCTTTACAACCTCCAGTAACATGTTCCAAAGCAGTCTAACAATAAAGAAAGGCGAAAAGCCCCTTCTCAATCGTCTTTCCCACCATAACAGACCCCTTTGGCCAGAGATAACCACCTCTACCACTTTGAAATATATCTTTCCAGAACTTTCTCTATGAATTTATATGCATATGTATGTACATGGTAAAATACATATATATATATTGTTGTTTTATTTGTTTGTTTTTGAATTGTTTTGGATGCAAGAGATAGAGAATCGAGATCAAACTGGTTTAAGCCAAAATAATGGGAAAGAGGGAGTACTTATTGTCTATTGTCTCTGAAAACTCTCTAATAAGTTGGCGTCAAGTGCAGTTGGATAAAGGACTAAAAACACCAGGATGTCACACAGACGTCCATTTCTCCACTCTGCTTCCTACTCCTTAGGCTCCATTCTTAAATTTTATGTGGTGCTCAAAGGGCTGTAGCAAACTCCAAGCCCTATACCTGAGATAGTTTGGATATTTGTCCCCATCAAAATCGCATGTTGAGATGTAATCCCCCGTGTTGAAGTTGAGGCCTGACAAGACTAGTTTAGATCCTGGGGGTGGATCCCAAATGAATGGCTTGGGTCATCTCCTTGGCGATAAATGAGCTCCTTTTGAGTTCACAGGAGATCTGGTCCTTTGCTTTCACCGTGTGATGTGCCTGCTCCCCCTTTGCCTTCCGCCATGATTGTAAGCTTCCTGAGATCTTTCCAGAAACAGATGCCAGTGCTGTGCTTTCTGTACAGCCTGCAGAACTGTGAGCCAATTAAACCTCTTTTCTTATAAAATATCCAGTCTCAGATATTTCTTTATAGCAAGAACAGCCTAATATAATATCCTTTTCCACTCATGTCTGAAAGGACAGAAAAAGAGCCTCTTTCTCCAAAGCCCTAGCAAACTTATATTGTATGTAATTGGATTTGTCAGTTGTGGTACCATTCCTGCCCCAGTTACTGCAGCTGGGAGATTACAGTTTGGTGATCAGGCTGGGGCCAATCAACACCCACATCATGAGCTGTGAGTGAAGGTAAATTACATGGGCTTAGACTATAGGAGGTTTTCCCATAAGAAATGTGATGTGCTATTTTGCCAGAAGTCAGGCGAATAAATGCTGGCAATAAAACCAATATATTTGAGTTGCCATAAGTAATTAGTAAGTTAACATGGCATAAAAGCCAAGTAAACCATTTCAAGAAGGAAGAACTGGCTAAGAGAATCAATTATATTACACAGAGATCAAAGAGAATGAAAACTCATGGAAAATCTTTGAATTTTATTATAGAAAGTCAATGAAAGACCAGATGCAGTGGCTCATGCTTGTAATACCAGCACTTTGGGAGACCGAGGTAAGTGGATCATCTGAGGTGAGGAGTTCAAGACCAGCCTGGCCAACATTGTGAAACCCCATCTCTACTAAAAATATAAAAATTAGCTGGGTGTGGTGGCGCATCCCTGTAATCCCAGCTACTTGGGAGACTGAGGTAGGAGAATCATTTGAACCCAGGAGGCAGAGGTTGCAGTGAGTCAAGATTGCACCACTGCACTACAGCCTGGGCAACAGAGAGACTCTGTCTCAAAAAAAAAAAAAAAAAAAAAAGAGAAAGTCAATGAACGGTGACTGTGAAGAATCAAAATGTTATTTTGATGGTATTACCTTCATGAAGCCTAGTAATGCCAGAATCCCATCATTTTGATTATTCCTCATCTCTGTATGTATAATAAGCAATAGCAGCATCAGAAGAAAGATACTGTATTATTAATAAGTACAAAGGTAAAGTATGGGTCCTATGGCTTAGTTATGAAGTATAAGATACTTGGGTATTTAGTACTTCCCACAAGAACCTTTCTTTGACTTGCTGTAAGGAGGAGGAGGAAAAAGCTGAAAGGAAGGAGACAAGAATGGAGGGAAATAAGAAAAGATGGTCAGCATACCCCAATGGCCAGTGCCCTGTCTAGATCTGCCACTACAGAGAGACAAGGAGCAGGAAGCACAAGAAGGCATGAGGGATGGATGACCTTTTAACATACACTGACCCTGCCCACTAGTAACTATGACCCGATCAGCAATAGAGCCTGTGACACATCATTATATCATCTCCTCCTCCTTTGGGTAGGGAGAGTTGCAATGCCTGTTTCCCCTCAGAGACTTTTAAGAAAGCAATTTTAATTAAGATGAAATTAGTGGAAATATCAAACATAGGCTGCATTTTCTATAAGTCTCTTGCTAAATGTAATGAAAGAGTAGCTTAAAGAGTTATCAGGATCAAGGGAAAGGGTGTGGATGGGGATTAGGTATGACATGAATTTATTTAGATGCTGAAGTAAAAAGAAATAGTCAATTCAAGAGCTGGAATGATTGATAGGACAAAGTCCCAAAGAAGGCAGAAAGGATATGAGCAAGAACATATGGGGTGAGGCAAGGCTAGCCTAGCCATAGGGAGGAGGAGAGACACTTCTTCCTCTGAGAAAAAAAGGCAAGGAAACAAAAAAGAACATCATCATAAGAAAGAAGATGATATTAATAACAAGAATAGGGAAAGAGTTCTGTTAAATGGGTAATCTTGTGTATTTGGGGGTGAGGGGTGGAGTGAGCCTAAGATGTAGTCACAAAGACTCCACTTCATGTCTTCACTATGCTACTTCCTTGTGTAACCTTGGGCAACTTATTCTCTATAAGCTTCAGTTTTCTCTTCTGTAACTGGGAATAATAATACAGTATTCATATTTGGATGATTTCAATTCTAACAGATAATCCACATTCAAACTGTCCTAAACACTACAGAAATACATGGCATGAATCTGAATGGCCAGCTGTTGGGAATGGTATGATCAGCTTTTTCCAAAAATGTTATGAAGGAGCCAGGTTCTATCACTTTCTCTACTCTGCTATTCTTAGCATATTGGGTTTGCCCTCCACTGGCTTCCCCCAAAGTGGCAAGAGGACTTCAGCATTTTCAGATATCATAAGTTTCCAATGTGTACACATAAGGATAGTACCTAGTTCCTATCCTCAAATGTAATGTCTTTCAGCTAGTAAAATATCCACATGGCCAAATATAAAAGTAACTAATAATACATAGCACAATGTACTAAATGATTGCTACAGGGAAAAAAAACCAGAGTAGTTGAATTTTGGTTGTGGAGTGTCAAAATATTCTTTATTGACCCAGATGAATACCTACAAATGATCAAAATTAAAAAGAAACAAAAAAGAAAACCCAATTTGACTTGTCAATTCAAGGAATGCTCTCATTAAGCAGGATTGAGCGATCTGAAATGAGAACAATGGGAAGTATTTGTTTCAAAGTAGACTCACTAATGAAACTAACAACTCACTTTATTTCACTGAGATGTGATTAATTTGGTTTGAGACTGGTTCTTCAGGCAGTTTCAATGTTTGAGCTAGTTAGTGGAAAATAATTTTATTTTTATTTATTTATTTATTAAATTTTGAGCCAGGGTCTTGCTTTGTAGTCCAGGCTTGAGTAGAGCAGTGCCATCACAGCTTACTGCATCCTTGACCTACTAGGTTCAAGCGATCCTTCCACCTCAACCTCCCTCCTGCTTTAGCATCCCAAAGTGCTGGGATTACAGGCATGAGCCACCAGGCCCAGGTGGAAAATACCCTTTAAATTGAACTTGTAACATGATGAGCTCCTTACTGATCACTCTGTTTTAAACAATTTTATATATTTTGTTTTGCATTTTGAATCCAAATTGTAAACTCAGTTGTAACACTCACTCTGTCGGAAATTGTAAGTACAGTAGGCATGGTACCACTGTGACCCTACTTAGCCAAATTGAATGAATTTATCAAGTTAAAACTAAGCAAAGTATGCAGCTGAAACAATCAACATATATTTTATAATTGGCTAATGAGTGTTATATAAATTAATAAATTCCTCTTTCCTTATACTCTCAACTCAGAAAAACCAAAAACTTTTAATTTGATAAAACAAATTGTGTAACTCATTGTCCATATAATGTTGCATGGCATGAACAAACACTGTTTGGAAAGATACTTTTGTCTTCCCTGTCAGTAGTACTTACACATGCAAAATAAAATGATCATTTAAATTAACTTGTGCAAAAAACATTTCAGCAAGAGTGGCCAACCTCAATATATCCAAAAGCATGCTATTGTAATTTCCCTCCAGATTCTCTCTCACAATTTTTATAATGTTGATATGGGTTGGCTCTGTGTTCCCACCCACATCTCATCTCATAATGTAATCCCCTCATGTTGAGGGAGGGACCTGTAATCCCCACGTGTCAAAGGAGGGAGGTGATTGGATCATAGGGGCAGTTCCTCCCATACTGTTCTCATGAAAGTGAGTTCTGATGAGATCTGATGGCTTTATAAGTGTTTAGAAATTCCTCCTTCATGCTTCTTTTTCCTGCCACCTTGTGAAGAGGTGCTTGCTTCCCTTTCTGCCATGATGGTAAGTTTCCTGAGGCCTCCCAAGCCATGCAGAATGGTGAGTCAATTAAACCTCCTTTGTTTATAAATTACACAGCCTCTGGTAGTATCTTTATAGCAATGTGAAAACGGACTAATACAAATGTATACCATGGAACATTTTTATACCTAGAATACACTGAACCACCTTTGGGTAATGCTGAAGTTGCTTTCACATTTGATTTTCATGCTAAGAGTCAATAAATGTGAGACAGAGATCCTTTGGAGCATTCACTACTCTCTTCCTGTGATTTTCTTAAACTGGGAATTCTTTTAGAAAACTTATCTTCATAGGTGCAATTAGAGAGGTTTAATCTACAACTTGGCCTGCAATTAAAGAGTGTCCTTAGTAAATGAGAGCAAGGCCTGTGTTTGCTTTGTTTAACACTAAAGCCCTTGAGGCCAGCTAGTACAGTGCTGCCGCATGTAGGGGCTCAAATATTTATTCCAAGAACATATTAATGAATCAATGAATGGTATCAGTCTGTATGGACTCTGATTGACATGGGTATGTAAGTCATGACTTTCCACATTTAAGGATAATACAATGAAATAATAACAACTTGAGGTAACATGAAGTGCCTGTAGAGCATCACATCTAAACCCCAACTCTAGTCCAACCAGTGGTCAGATTTTAACTGAGCAACCAATGAGACATAAAATGCTTTATCTTAAGAAACACATTGCATACATTATAGATTTTAATAGAAATATACTGTTTTTTGAGCATTTACTCTATGAAAAGTAGTTTATTTGGCACAGTCCTTAATTGTTCTCATTCTCAAGTAGGAAAACACCACATGCCCATGTGTAAAACTAGATGATCATATAAATTATTATATACCAAAGAACTGATAAAGACAAATTTCTAGTCAAGTTCACGGGAGACAAAAGATGGATGGACTGAAATTTAAAAATTATTTAAATACAATGACTTTTTTTCTCCATTTCAAGACAATAATATGAAAAACAAAACTGTAACAAAAATAGTTATTCCTAATTGGTACCAAAATTATTTATGAAATGTCAGCTGATCAAATTAAAGAGTTAATAATTTACTTTACTTCAGTTTTAAAATCTACTTAGTTTCTACCTTTATCTGGCCTACTAGTGATCACTGTCTGTTTTATCATCAATTTGGGGAGTTCTAGATTACAAGTAGCAATGCACAACTTCTGTGTGTATTGTCTCCATATTAATGAACATCTTTCTTAGCTACTAACCAGACATGTGATCACTCTGCCTATCACTCTGTGGTTTTGCACATTCTTCTTAAGAAAAATATTCAAAGAATAGAAATATTATATAAATCCATAAATCTCAAAACATAGACTAAGAATCAATGCTTTGAAAATCTTTGAAAAAAGTCTTGAAAATTTTGAAGCTGAAAGCTAAGTCTATATACTTATCAGTCAATGATCTCTCATCTCGGAAAATTACTCTGAACTCTGTAGAGAACTAGAAAGAGATGAACCATTTTAGTAGCTCTCCCTAATACTAAAAAGAAAAATAAAGCTTCCTAGTGGGAAAAAAACATTCCTCAGAATGCAATACAAAAAAGAAATGTGTTTCTGAGCTGAAGAGTTAAGATAATTGCATTATTTTCTCTGAGTTATTTATTTGTTATAAGAGATGTTTGGAAGAGTATAGAAAAATTCAGTAAATATGTTATTGCCACTGGCTAATGATGGCAGATATTCATCAGGGAGTGATTTGGAAAGAAAATAAGAATGTAATAGTGCACTGACAAGAAAAGCAAAGTCAATTTCTTCTGTATGATCTTTGCTTTGTAAAATTGCCATGAAATTTCCATGCAGGAGCCCCATAGTAATCACAGCTATTTCTCACAGACCTACAGGCTAAGTATAGACTGAGCTTTCAATTATCATCCTGATGGATGAGAGACTCACAGTGTGAATGAGGAGGGGAAAGCAGTCAACTAATATACTCCCATAATTTTAAAGCCTTTGCTGATATTAAAAAATAAAGCTTTAGGTTTCTGTTATAGTTTAGGTGTGTAGCAAAATTGCTTTGTGTCTTTATTTTTAAAACTATGTTTTCTGCTTGGATAAAATCTATACATATTTTTTATCTCCCAATAGATAGTAGACTTTTATTATACTTTTTGATCACTTCCTACATTTGGACCCTTTTTCTCTGTTTAGGGAAGTGCCTGAATTACGAACATTGCCTTGCCAAAATAGGAAGCCAGAAGCTCACTTTCCCAGCATTCTCTGGAGTTAGGGGCAGGCATGTGACCCAGGCTCAGCCAAGCAACAAATCTGCACAAGGCTTTAATTGGAAGAGAGTAACATGAAGAGGAAGGCTATCCATAAGGTACATCATAGGGAGGGTGGTAGGGACTGACAGAGGGACATACAGCCTGAAGAGGTAGCAGCAGCAGTTGTAGTGGGGATGTACCCATGTCCACATTTTAGCTGTGGTATGTTTTCCCAGTGGTAGCAGCAGCAGAAGGGTCTCTACTGCAGCAGCAATGGGAGAGTTAAGATGTACTTGAAAACAGCCTCCAAGTCCGAATCTCTGGCCCTTGCAAAAGTTCTAAGATTTCATATGTAAATTATATAGTATACATTTTATATAATTTATATTCTATAAATATAATGTATTGTGTGTGTGTATATTCATTACGAAGTGTATGACAGCCATAGTACAAGTGCCAGGAGGGCAGAAATGAAAATATACACTTGCAGTTTTCTCATACTACATGTGAAGTGTGGTATGATATCAGTAAATGAAAGATGTATATTTTAATACCTTAAAAAAGCATCAAAATAATGTAAAAGAAGCCAACAAGAAGTAAATGAAAGAAAAAGCAAACTTTTAAAGGCAGAAAAAGAAAATAAAGAGGAAAAGGGGAGTGAAGAACAGCCCAACCATATCAATAATCACATTGAAGATAAGTAGTCTAAGCACACCAATTAAAAGACAAAGATGATAAAATTGAATAGTTAAGTTGCAAAACTCAACTATATCCTGCCTATAAGAAACAAACCTTAAATATAATTAATATATTAAATATTATATATATTTATTTATCAGAGATTGAATATAAAAGTATATACAAAGATACACCATGCTAACACTATTTAAAAAAAAAAAAGAAAAGAAAAGGTAACCCAGGCATGGTGGCTCATGCCTATAAACCCACCTTGGGAGTCCCAGGCATAAGAATTGCTTGAGGCCAGGAGTTTGAGGCCAGCCTGGGCAACATAGCAAGACCTTGTGGCTACAAAAAAAATTTTTTTTAATCTTCTGGGCGTGGTGGCACACACCTGTAGTCCAAGCTACACAGGAGGCTGAGGCAGTGGTTTCCCTTGAGCCCAGTAGTTTAAGGTCACAGTGAGCTATGACCATGCCACAGCACTTCAGCCTGGCAACAGAGTGAGACCTCGTATCAGGCCATTCTTGCATTGCCAGGTAATTTTTAAAGGAAAGAGGTTTAATTGGCTTATTGTTCTGCAGGCTATACAGAAAACATAGCAGCATCTGCTCTTAGTGAGGCCTCAGGAAGCTTACAGTCATGGCAGAAGGCAAAGGGGGAGCAGGCACATCACATGGTGAAAGCAGCAGCAAGAAAAAGTGAATTGTCACACACTTTTAAACAGCCAGATCTCATGAGAAGTCACTCAGTATTGCAAGGACAACATCAAAGGGATGGTGCTAAACCATTCATGAGAAATTCACTCTCATGATCCAGTCACCTTCCACAGGCCCCACCTCCAATACTGGAGAGTATAATTCAATATGAGATTAGGATGGGAACATATATCCAAACTACATCAGATCGTGTCTCAAAAAAATAAAAAAGAAAAAAGGAAAAGAAAGAAAGCTAGAATGGTTATATTAATTCAGATAAATACAATTTCTGAACAAACAATATTACCAGGGCCATTTCTTAATGATAAAGGGGGTCATTCCGACAAGAGGACATAAATCTAAAAGTTAAACATCTAAAAACAGAGCTTCAGCCTGGGCAACATGGCAAGACCTCATCTCTACAAAAAAATACAAAAAATTAGCTAAGTGTGGTGGCATGCACCTGAAGTCCCAGCTACTTGAGAGGCTGAGGTGGGGGGATCACTTGAGCCTGGGGAGGTCAAGGCTGCAGTGAGCCATGATCGTGCCACTGCACTCTAACCTGGGCAGCAGAGTGAGATCCTGACTCAAAAATAATAAAGTAAAATAATCTAAATATAAATAAACAGAGCTTCCAAATGCATGATAGTGATGAAATAAAAATAGAAAAAAATCACAGAGTCAGAGATTTTAATACTTTCTCAATAATTGATAGAACTAGTACACAAAAAATAGTATGTAATAAGGATATAAAATATTTGAATAACACTATCAACCAACTTAACCTAATTGACACTCCATCCAACAGTGGCAGATACACATTTCTTTCAAGTACACACAGAACATTTACCCAAGTTAGAGCATATCTTGGACTTTACAACTAATCTTAGTAAATTTACGATTTAAGACATTCAAAGTATATTCTCTGACTATAGTAGAATTCAATTCAAACCAACAGCTCCCAAATATTTAGAAACTAAATAGCACACTTCTAAATTAACCATGAGCTAAGGAAAGAGCTAAAGGAGTGATTAGAAAGTATTTCTGAACTGAATGAAAAGGAAAACATGATAGATCAATATTTGTACGATCTACTAAAGCAGAGCTAAGGGGAAGCTACAAGCTAAATATCTGTAACAGAAGCAAAAAAGCACCTCAAGTCAGTGACCTCAACTTCACTCTTAAAAAACAAAAAAAGGAAGAGAAAATGAAATTTTAAGATGAGAAGTCAAAGAGGGAATCAGTGAAATGGAAGACAGAGACAATAGTTTTAGTTTCAGTCATCGAAACTAAAAGCTGGTTGTTGAAAAAATGAGTAAAATTGATAATCCTCTCACAAGACTCATAAGGAAAAAACGACAGAAGCCACAAATTATCAGTATCAGGAATGAGAGATGTTACATTATTGTAGATTCCACAAGTATTAAAAGGATCATAAGGTAATATTATAAATATTTCATACTGGAAAAATTTATGAAATAGACGTACTCCTTGAAATAGACAAATTACCAAAGCTCACTCAAAAAGAAAGAGATTATTTGAATAGCTTTATATCTATTAAGAAACTATTTGTAGTTTAAAACTTTCCCATGAGGCAAATTGCAAGCCCAGTCAACTTCACTGGCAAAGTCTACCAAACATTTAAGGAAGAAATAATGTAATTCTATACCCATTCTTTCAGAAAATTGAAGAGTATGGAATACTTCCCAACACATTCTGAGATCAGCATTACCCTGATTCCAAAACCAGACAATTACTAGAGAGCTACAAAACATTTTCCTTATGCACATAGATACAAAGATTCTAAACAAAATGTTAGCAAATGAAATCCAACAATATATTCAATATATTAAAAGAAGGATAATACATCATTTGCTGTTCCTTTTCTTGTTTCCTAAGGTTGGAGCTGAGGTCATTCAACACAGTGAAAGAACATTACGTGGGAAAAGGACAATCTTTTCAATAAATGATGCTGGAACATTTGGATATCCACAGGCAGAAAAATGAAATTCAATCCATAGCTTAAGTCATGTACAAAAATTAATTCAAAATGGATGATAGAATGGAAGGTAGGAAACTAAAGCTGAAAATCTTCTAGAAGAAAACCTAGGAGAAAATCTTTGCTACCTTGCATTAGGCAACGACGTCTTAAATATATAAGGCGTGGTGGCTCATGCCTGCCTGTAATCCTATCACTTTGGGAGGCCAAGGCAGGTGGATCTCTTGAGGCAGAGAGTTCGAGACCAGCTTGGCCAACAGGGCAAAACTCAGTCTCTACTAAAAAAAAAAAAAAAAATAGCCGGGCAGGGTGGCGCACATCTGTAATGCCAGCTACTAGGGAAGCTGAAGCATGAAAATTGCTTGAACCTGGGAGGTGGAGTTTGCAGTGAGTCCTGTTGCACCACTGCACTCCAGCCTGAGTGACAGAGTGACACTCTGTCTCAAAATTAATTAATTAATAAAATAAAATACCAAAAACACAATCCCTAAAGGAAAACACTGATAACTTAGATTTCACCAAAATTGGAAATTCCTCTACTTCAAAAGGTGCTTTATGTTTTA
This sequence comes from Homo sapiens, assembly GCF_000001405.40. Lineage (NCBI taxonomy): Eukaryota > Metazoa > Chordata > Mammalia > Primates > Hominidae > Homo > Homo sapiens. The sequence continues at coordinate 40,119,338 of NC_000012.12, forward strand.
ATTGTACTTGTTCACATGCAGTTGTCAGAAATAACACAGAACAATCCCATATATCCTTTACCCAGTAATCCCCAATGGCAACAGCTTGCAAAACTACAGTACAATATACAATATCACGACCAAGATATTCACAATGATACAGAGCATTTCTATCACCACAAGGATCTCTCATGCTGTCCTTTTATATCTACACTGACTTTCCTCCTGCCCTCACCTTCTCCTTAACCTCGGATATTAATAATCTGTTCTCCATTTCTATAGTTTTGTCACTTCAAGAATGTTATTTAAATGGAATCATACAGTATATATACAAACTCTTGGAAGTGACTTTTTTCACTCATCATAATTCTTTGGAGATTAATCTAGGTTGTTGCATGTATTGGTGTATATGTAGCTGTGTAGTATTTCATGGTGTGGGTATACAACAGTTGGTTTAACCATTCACCCATTTGAAGACCTGGGTTATTTCCTGCATTTGGCTGTTATTTATAAAACAGCTATAAATATTTGTATACAAGTTTTTGTGTGAATATAAGTTTTTCATTTATTTGACATAAATACCCAAGGATGTAATTGATGGATTATTTGGTTGGTAAGTATCATGTTTACTTTTTTCAAAAAGTACCAAAATGCCTTCCAGAGTGGTTGTACCATTTTACATTCCTTCATTCTCTAGATCCAGATCCTCCAGATCCTCATCAACATTTGGTGTTGTCTGTTTCTTTTAGCCATTTATATAGGTGTGCAGTGTTATCTCATTATGGTATCAATTTGCGTTTTTTAAAGGCTAATCATGGTCACCCTGTTTTAATGTCCCTATTTGCCATCTGTGTATCTTCTTCAGTGAAGTATCTCTTCATGCCCTTTGCCCATTTTCTTATTGGATTGTTTATTTTTTCACTCCCGATATTCGAGAATTCTTTATATATTTTAGATACTAATCTTTAGTTGGATATGTGGCGAACAAATATTTTCTCCCAATCATCTATAGCTTTCTTTTCATCTCTTAACAGAGAGTTAATAGCTCTTAATTTTGACAAAGCCTATAGTATCATTTTGTTTCTTGTATAGATTATATATTTGGTTTTAAATCTAAGAACTCTGCCTAACCCGAGGTTCCAGAGATTTTCTCCTATTTTTTTTTCTAAAAGTGCTATAGTTTTATGTATTACATTTAATCTCTTGACCCATTTTGAATTAATTTTTGTATAAGGCATGTGACTTAGGTCAATGGTCTTTTTTTTTTTTTTTTTTTTTTTTTTTTTTGCCTATGTATCTCCACTGGCTTCAGCACCAGCTTTGTGGAAAAGGCTATGTTCTCTCCTATTGGACTACATTTGCATTTTTGTCAAAAATTAGCTAGGCCTGCTTATGGGTTTATTTTGGAGTTCTCTATTTTGCTCCATTGACTTATATGTCTAATTTTCTCCCAATACCACACAATCTTCATTAATGTAACCACCTAGTAAGTCTTGAAACTGAGTAAACTGATTCTTCCCCCATTCATTCTTCTGTTTTGAAATTGTTTCCACTATTCTAGTTCCTTTGCATTTCCATATACATTTTAGAACAATCTTATATGTATCTCCAAAAATTCTTACTGGGATTAATGATAGAAATGTGTTAAACCTGTATTTCAATTTGGGGAGAATTGATATCTTTACTATATTGAGTATGTTGAGTCTTCAAATCCATGAACAGGGTTTGTCTTTACATTTATGTAGATATTCTTTGATTTATCTCATCAGTATTTTGGAGTTTGGGGTATACAAGTCCGATACATGTTACCTTAGATTAACATCTAAGTAGTTCACTTTTTTAGTGATCATAAGTGGCATGTGTTTTTAATTTTAGCATCCACATTTTCATGGAAAGTATAGGGAAATATAATGAATTTTTGCATGTTAATCTTTTGTAAGGAGACCTTATTAGTTCTAGATGTTCTTTTGTCAAAAGGCACTTCTTAAGGAATGAAAAGACAAGTCACAGACTGGTGAAATATTTGCAAATCATGTATGGGATAGAGGACTCATTTCCAAAATACATAAAAAGCTCTTGACACTCAATAATAAAATAGCAAGCAACTCAATTAAAAGATGGAAAATATATTTGAAAAAATACCCTGCCAAAGACAATTTAAGGATAGCAAATACATACATGAAATGATGCCTGAAATCTACTAGCTAGTAGGAAAATGTAAATTAAAACTATAATGAGGTATCACTATGCACCTAATTAAATGCCTAAACGTCAAACCTATTGACCATATCAAGTGTTTTGAGGATGTGGTGGGACTGGAACATTCATCTGCTGGTGGGATTGTAAAATGTCATGACCAGTAAAAAAAATACTCTGGCATTTTCTTTAAAAAGTTAAAAATATACATATTATATGATCCAATCATTTAACCTTAAGTATTTGCTAGAGAGATGAAAGCGTAAGTCCATCCAAAGTCTTGTTAATGTTCACAGAAGTTTACTTGTCGTAGACAAAAATCAAAACCTACCAGAATGTGCATCAACAGATAAAAAGACAAATAAGCAGTTATAGTATGTATCTATACACAAAAAACTAATCAGCAGTACAAAGTAATGACCTATTGATATAGGTCTATGTTATCACATAGACCTATATGTGGTTTATATTACCACATAGACGAATCTCAAAATAATTATGCTGAACTAAATAAGCCAGACAAACCAGTATATATTGTTATTCCATTTATTTAATTATTTTGAGGCAAGTTCTCCTCTGTCACCCAGGCTGGAGTGCAGTGGTGCAATCATGGTTCACTGAAGCCTCAACCTCCTCGGCTCCAGCAATCCTTCCACTCCAGCCTCCCAAGTATCTGGGACTACAGGCGTACATCACCACTCCCAGCTATTTAATTAATTATAGTAGAGATGAGGTACCACTATGTTGCCCAGGCTGGTCTCGAACTCCTAGACTCAAGTGATCCTCCCACCTGAGCCTTCCAAAGTACTGGGATTACAGGCATGAGCCACTGTGCTGTGTCTGTTATTCCATTCACATAAAGTTATATTAAATGTAAACTATTCTATAGTTAAAGCAGATATTGGTTGTCAGGGAATGGTATTGGTGGGAGGGGGAAGAACAATAGGAAGAGATTTCAAAGAGGTTTTGAGGAAATATTTGACCTAGATAGTTAATTTCGTTATCTTGATAGTAATGATGGTTTCACAGGTATGTACATATGTCAAAAGTGACCAAATTGTACACTTTAAATATGTGCAATTTCTTGTATGTCAATTATACTATAATAAAGCTGTTTTGTTGTTGTTGTTGTTGTTGTTGCTAATGTTTGTTTTGTTTTTGTTTTCGAGATGGAGTCTCTCTCTGTTGCCCAGGCTGGAGTACAGTGGCACAATCTCGGCTCACTGCAGACTCTGCCTCCTGAGTTCAAGCGATTCTCCTGCCTCAGCCTCCTGAGTCGCTGGGATTACAGGCGCCCACCACCACGCCAGGCTATTTTTTTGTATTTTTTAGTAGAGACGGGGTTTTGCCATGTTGGCCAGGCTGGTCTTCAACTCCTGATCTCAGATGACCTGCCTCAGTCTCCCAAAGTGCTGAAATTACAGGCATGAGCCACCACACCTGGCCCAATAAAGCTGTTTTTTAAAAGCTTAAATGCTTACATAAGCATTTTTTTTAAAAGGACTTTTTTTCCTATTTTATATGCTGACTTTCAATTTGTTTTGTTTGTTTGTTTGTTAAGCATGCAATATCTTTTGTCCATGAGAATGGGAAGGCTGGGTGAAAAATATAAAGATTTGTGTGTCTGATAACATAATGAAGTTGCCATATCAGCAATTTTCTGCCTATTTCTATATTCCTCATACATGAGAAAATTAAAAGCACTTTTTTTTTAAACAATAGATCTTTGGACTTTTTGTTACATGCAGTGTAACTCAAATTCTGACTGATTCAGAAGTTGTAACTGAACTGTTGAACTAAGCCACTGAAATATTTAAAATTGAATTATCATTATAGTATTAATAAGAGTTGTCTGTCCTAGGAAATAGGAAGTCTATGTTTTAAATATAAGACTCCTTCCAGATCAAAGGTAGCCAGAAAATGCATGTATACATCTTAAGTGTTTACAAACGACAAAACCAACCATGCAATATAAGCAGCTAGGCCAGGAGTGTGAGATGTCTATGGAGTTGGTAGAAGAATCAGATACTTTTAAGTTGAACCCAATGATGTGATTTATTTGGGCTATAAGTCACATTGATATATGATAGAAAACAAGTAATGCTAAACCTGTTCCATGAGCCCCTAATAAGAATCCAAAAGAGCCAAAAGCTCTGGTTGTGAAAGCTCAAGTGTTGGGAAAGAGATGCTGAAATTGTCTTAAGATGATGTAATTATTTCCTTACTAAGTAAGCATCCTCTAACTATTAGAATATTTAGAATTAAGTACAGAACTGTTAAAGAAAATCAGAATTATTATATTAATATTTCTATGTTATGGAATCTGAGCATATTTGGAATGTCCTTGAAATAAAAAAGAAAATCGGCTTTTTAGAGAAACATATAAAACATTTAATTCTAATTTAAAATGATTTATTTTGTTATTGATTTAGACTTTAAGTCAAGCCTTTATTAAGGGTATCTATTAAAATATTTAAGAGAACTTAGGAATCAAATTATTTAAAAGCTTATCATCTTTTAAGAACTAATTTTATATTCGAGAGGATTTTAAGGTATACAAGTGAAGTATTAAAGAAGGAAATTGAATATTTTGTAAGTATAGCTTAAAAATATTTTAACATATTGAATGGAACCTATCAAACATTATTCAGAAACTGCTAAAATTTTGGCTCTGCACAGTGGCTCACGCCTATAATCCCAGCACTTTGGGAAGCCCAGACAGGAGGATCACTAGAGGCCTGGAGTTTGAGATCACCCTGGTCAACATAATGAGACCCCATTTCTACAAAAAAATAAAATAAATTATCTGGTTGTCATGCGCATGCCTCTAGTTCCAGCTAGTCAGGAGACTGAGGCAGGAGGATCCCTTGAGCCCATGAGTTCAAGGCTGCAGTGAGCCATAATTGCATCACTGCACTCCAGTCTGGGAAACAGAACAAGACCCTGTCTCAAAAATTAAAATTGGCTGGGCACGGTGGCTCAAGCCTGTAATCCTAGCACTTTGGGAGGCCGAGGCTGGTGGATTGCCTGAGCTCAGGAGCTTGAGACCAGCCTGCGCAACATGGTGAAAACCCGTCTCTACTAAAATACAAAAAAAAAAAAAAATTAGCCGGGTGTGGCGGTGTGCACCTGTAGTCCCAGCTACTCGGTAGGCTGAGGCAGGAGAATTGCTTGAACCTGGAAGACTGAGGCTGCAATGAGCCAAGATCATGCCACTGCACTCCAGCCTGGCAACAGAGTGAGACTCCATCTCAAAAAAAAAAAAAATTTAATTAAAATTAAATAAACTGCTAAAATGCAAAGTAGAATATATTTGTCTGTTGAACATAAAACTTTAAAGAAGAGCCTTAATAAACTGAATTTCAAGTTTTAATATCATAGGAAATGATTCTTTTGTCATGAAAAACTGTTCTTAAAGGTATAAATATCTCACATATAATAAGACCTTCCTGTTTTCATTATGAACTTTGTGCCACATTTCTATTGTCTCTTAAATTCCTTTGTTTTTAACCTACAAATTATCCTGTCATTGAGTTTTCAAGAACATAATTCTCAAGGTTGAAGAAAACTGTATATGTATATGTGTGTTTCTTTTATTAGACTCTGAGTTTCATGAAAGCAGACATTACATTATATCATTATATTCCTCATTACCTTCTATGGACTTGGTTTAGTGCTTGGAATAAAGTATGTTCTCCATAGTTACTCGCTAGGAAGTAGCAGTTGAACAAATTTGCTTGCTTTTCTTAAATAGAAATGTTCTCCAGTCCTTGTACACAATTAATCCCAGCATGAGGACCATTGGTTCTTGTACACAATTCTCAGAGACTTTTGGCTATTTAGCCTCTGGGTCCACCACTGACTGTTGTCCTTGATTCCTAGCAGATATGCCAGGGGCTTTTGGTCATAGTGGCACCAGAATTTCACAAAGAGACTGGGGAAACATACTATGTTTGCAAAAGGCAGCCTTAGAAGAAATGTTTGTCTACCTACTCCGTTATAGTTTACATCATGTAATTTTCATGGTTTTGCTTATTAATAACTTGCTTATTAACTATTTGCTTATTAATCTATTAACTCATTCATTTAACCATTCTTTTTTATGTATTTATTTAAATAGATACAAGGTCTTGTTCTGTTGCCCAGGCTAGTGTGCAGTGGCACAATCGTAGCTCACTGCATCCTCTAACTCCTGGGCTCAAGTAATCCTCTTGCCTCAGTATCCCTAGTACTTGAGACTCCAGGCACATGCCACCACATCCAGCTATTTTTTTTAATTTTTTAATTTTATGAGACAGAGGTCTTGCTATGTTGACCAGGGTGGTCTCAAACTCCTAGCCTCAAGCCATCCTCCTGTCTGGGTCTCCCAAAGTGCTGGGATTACATGTATGAGCCACCATGCCCAACTTAACCATTCTTTATTTTGTACCTACTGCATGCCAAGTACGATAGTAGGTCTTGTGATCACAGCAGTGAGCAGGAGAGACACAGTCCCTTCCCGCATAGAGCTTTTCTTTTGGTTTGGAATTAATTTCTAGTCTTAAGAAATAAAATAGGCTGGGTGCGGTGGCTCATGCCTATAATACCAGCACTTTGGGAGGCCCAGACGGGAGGATCACTTGAGCACAGGGATTTGAGACCAGCCTGGGGAACATAGGGAGACCCCGTCTCAACAACGACAACAAAAATGTGAAAATTAGCTGTGACCAGAACACGAGGCACCCTGCTAGGGGAAGGAAGGTGATGGAGAGTGAGATGCTTTTGGAAAAATAGCAGGGGTGAGATCTCTAGAGTCTTATGAACTTTTAATAAGTTTTTTGTTGAACCTGTTTGATGTTTTCCTCTCTTCTCTTAATCTTTTGAACTCTAGAATATGATACTAAATCATTAATTTAGTCTTCAATATATTGCATCTCTGCTCTTGCTAGCACTTTTAATTGCTACAGTGTAATAATAATTATTATTCATTTTTTAATTTCAAAAACAACTCATGTAATTTCGATTTTTACTGTTAATTCTGCTATCACCAGCTTCTCTGGGAGCTTTCAAGGCCTGCTTCTAAAATAATTTATCTAATGAACATTCCACCCATAGGTAATTTTGCATACATATTCTTACATTTGTTCCTTTGTTCCACAAGTTCCCTAAGGCAAGTTTTTTTCTCATTCCTACAAACAGACCATTGTTTTCACCACTTACCTCTCATGCCAACTGTAGCCCACCATGCCATTATAGTTATGTATTTTTCAAGATTACTTTATAATTTTTTAAAATTCCACTATTTATTTCTGCTTCTGAATTTCCTCATGTAGTCTTTTCCTGTTACTCAAAGAAACATACCTTTGAGGGGACTTTGGAGATTCTTTGACCTTCCACCTTTATTTTACCAACAAACTCTTTTAATTTATGATCCCTTATGCAATGTTTAAAAGCCTAATATATAATGCTTCCATTTCTTAGTATCTTTTCATTTAAAATGGCCTAACTTTTCACAATACCTTGTAGTGGTCAGTTTGATGTTATAAATGTTCATGCAGTCTTTCTTAGCCAAAGTTGAAAATAAAATATTAGTTTTTTAAAAACCCTACAAACTAAGGGTTAATTATCTATAAACTCCTGGGTAAACAACTTTGTTATTTGCAGGTCTTTTATACCAAATATATATTCAAGTTCATAAAGTAATAAAAATGTTGCTAATAATATTGACTTCAGCTGGAAGTAAGCAAAGTGGTGAATAAAACAAAAGATGAGTACTTACATGGATTGATTAGATTAGATCCTCTTTTTATATTCTGCCATCCTTCGATAAGCTTCCTAAGAGATAAGTAAAAGGAAAGTAGCAAGACTTCCCAAGTTATTAGCTGGGAGCCCCTGGCAAATCTGATTTCAGATTTCAGATATCTATGTGTCTTCCTCTCTTCTTTCCCTTCATTTGCCAAGGCTGTTCTTTCTTGGTTAAGTCCTTGAATGACCCAACATTGCTTTCTAGTTTAAACATGTTTAAACATTTATTTTGCCTCTAGTCATCTAATCTGTTGCTAACAGGAAAAAAAGCCTAAGCAGAATTTCATAGAAATGACATTTTTCAGGTATTGGAAAGGAAAGTGCTGATCTATGCATGTTGCCATGGAGTTAGTGTCTGCTTACAATTGCATTCCTTCAATGGCAGGTAAAGAACAGTCCAATTACCAGGAAAAAGCAACACCTCATTTTGGCAAGATAATTTATTAGACTTTGAAATATGTCCATAAGTCAATTGTTTTCTTACTCTCCAACAGGCTTTTAAATACATCTGCCCAAAACAATATTACTAGCTATTTACAAAAGCAAAATCTTGTTGTTAAAATGCTACAGAGATTCTATAATAAAAATAGTGAATGTCTTTTTTTTTTTAAAGCATCTTGGGGAAGAAGAAACTCCATTTAAGAGAAAACTCTTTGTAAAAAGAAAATACTCCTGTATCTTTAAGAGTCCTATGAATAACAGTATTTATTTGATAAAGAAATGTCATCGCTGATCTTTTCTGTGGTTGCTCATCCTAAGGACTAGAATATGAGGCCGGATGTTTTTATTTCCTGTTATCTTACTCACTGCTGCTTTCCCATGTGGGATTTCTATTAACCTGAAAGGTAGCGCCAAAGCCAGAATAAATGTGTGTATAAGAACATAAGGAATGTCACAACAGCCGTGGAAAAATTGATAAAACATATATATACATACATTGCAGTCCTATCTTTTGCCTTCAACCTATGGCTTTTGTATGCATGGAAGAGAAAAGAGCATGTTGACTAGTGAATTGTAAATTACTTGTCACTATTAAAAAATACATATATATTTAAGATAATAGGGTAAAATTAAACACATAAAATCACAGCAGTGTCTATAAAATGAAAAGTACACACCTGCCTCTTTCTGCACCCCACCCCAACTCTACCAAGATGGTCCCCTGAAGCAACCAATGTCAATGATTTCTGTCTTTAGTTATATTGGTGGTTGCCAGAAAAGAGAGATAGATTTACCCTACAGCTAAGGATACTTTAGCTTCCTGGCCCTCCAAATGCATAGTTCCCTTCCAAAAGAAGGTAGAAGCTCAGTAGTGCATCCAAATTTTGTGGGTACCGAATTTACTCATCTGGGAGCACACCCTTTTAAGAAAAAGAACACAGAATTACAACTACACATTGTTAGGGCTCCTCCCAATGCTTTGCAAAGGGCCCCTGCAAGTCAAGATTCCTGAAACACATTTCGTTAGTTTCACAGTCAGTGATTGTCATTTTTAGATTTACCAACAGCATTAAACAGCATCTGTTGATTGTCTACTCAGAAACCAAGAGACATTTAGCAAGCCCTTCCTACCTCTCAATTCTCCTTTCCCATCTGCCTTCTACTTTTTGTTAGGTGTATTGAGTTATTATATTTATAGTTAAGGCTTACAGTCACTAAAATTATATTTGTATACATTGTAGATTCATTCTAAAAACTTTGAAAGGAAAATAAGTCTCAGTACCCCTAAATTGCTAAGTCAAAGGAAAAAGTCAAGCCGGGAACTGCATCGGGCAAACCTGCCTCCCATTTTTTTTCTAAATAAGACAGCTACAAAGATAAAAAAAAAAAAAGCTACATATCTACCTTATAATGTTCCAAAAAGGAAATTCCTGTGGGCCTCAAGATTTTTACCCTAAAACAGTTCTGTTCAATTTCACCCTGGCAATGTAAATTGATAGCTTATCTTTACAGGTGCGGGACAAAGGACAGAACTTAAAGTCATTCCTCTGCTCACCTGAGACAAATGCAGACCTGATGCTTCCTCTGCCCTATTGTTTACATAAAATTACAGATTCACTGAACCAAACTAAGGCATAAGTGACTATTCTACACTCACTCTCACACGTAAATTTGGTATTCAGTGAAAGGCTTATCGAAGACCCAAAAGAATACAACCTTTTGTCTCTTATCCACCTATGACATGGAAGCCCCACCTCCGCTTTGAGTTTTCTGGTCTTTCTGGTCTGAACCAATGTACATCTTATGCACGTTGATTGATGTCTCATGTCTCCATAAAATGTATAAAACCCAGCTGTACCCTGACCATCTTGGGCACATGTCATCAGGACCTCCTGGGGCTGTGTCATGAGCGTGTCCTTAACCTTGGCAAAATGAACTTTCTAAATTGATTGAAACTTGTCTCAGATACCTTTGGGTTCACAAAGCCAAGTATGTTTACACATATACAATAGTGTTTTGTATATGTGTTTTACACATATACAATAAGCACATATGCTATTGTATATGTGTAAACGTACATACTTTATATATACATACTATATATAAATATTTTCCATTGAATCAAGTAATGTGGTTGGATGAATAAAAATGTAAATGCAACCTTGTGTCTCTGAATTTTGCTACTCTAAAGAGAATTGTCCAAGCATCTTGAATTTATGATACTCTTAATTTTGTTTTAGACTTTCTTCCCCACTTCTTTTGGATCAGACATAACAGGCCTTGTTTCTTGTATCCTCTGTTTTTCTTTTTTAATTTCTTTATACATTTCCTGAATTAACTCCTCAAGTAATTTTTATTTAGTTTTGTAGGAGGTTAAGTTCATGAATGTCCTTCAAAATGGAATGACTTCATAGACAATTGCTAGTTTCAGAAAATGTTCTTTATGCAAAACTTTCAAAGGTATGTTTAACTTAGTTATCCCTATGTATTTTACCATAATAACAGGTCTTTAGGAAAAGTTTCAAGTAAAATTATGAGAGTTAAAGAAAGCATGGTTAGCATTGTGAGGTGATGTTTAATTTTTCCAAGGTAAATGAGACCATTCTGAATGGAGTCAACCCTTGTGTTTGTTAGAAGACATGCCTTAATGTGGATAAAAGCAAAAAGAAAATGGTAGACATTACATAATTTAACCAGAAGAGTTACTATTTTCTAAAAATCTAAGCATTTTTTTTCAAAGGGCTACCCTTTCTTTCTGCTTTCTCAGTATTCAAGTTGAGAAAAACCATGCCTTATAAATCACGAACAAATTCTCCTAATTCCTGTCTCAGAATGACTTCAGCGTACAGACTCTCCTTCAACAATTTGATATAAATAATCACCCTTTTGCATTGAACATTTTGTGAAATAAATTGTTTATACTCTGCAAGCTGAGGAAAATAGGCCACTCAACTAAAATGTTTAAAACTCTTCAAAACTATTACATTCATGGCATCTAATAAGAGATTATTATTTTCTTCATGGCAAGTTTCTTAATATTTTTTATAACCATTAGTGGCGGTGACAGAAGAGAATACTATTCTATGTAACTTTTTTATATTTGTGCAAAAAAAATGTGATCATGATGTATTATGTTTACATAAACTGACGTGACCAACATGAATGGTTTTTGTGTACTTACTATTAGTCTGAAGAGCTGTCCAGTGGAAAGCAATGTCTTTGCAACAGTATGAGTATACTGAAGCAGGGAATAAGGAGAAGACTTTGGATTTCTGCTTTGGTACTCCCTGATCTTTATGTTCATTTCCTTTCCCCTCCTTACCCATATTATACCCCTTGCCATCTTTTCTATCTTAATATGTTTCTAAAGTCTATCCATCAGTTTAACACTTAGCCCTATGCTGGGTCATGTCAGAGAACCCCAAAGAATAATAATAGAAATGCCCGAGTAGTTTCCACTCAGACTCGGATGGCAACATTCCTGGGTAGAATTAGAGAACATTGACGCTGGACTGTACGGTGTGGATTGTCAATATAATAGAGGTTTGGAGAAAGAAGTGATCTTTGTGGGTTGTAATTATGTATTGTTTGAGATTCTTTGATTGCTAGCAACAGAAACTGATGGTCTAATGTACGAAAAAAAAGTTCATTGGAAGGAGATCGTGGCTGCCTGAACTGCTTGATTGTATTGTAAGAATGCTGGCCCTGGAATAATTATGCTCTACCTGTTTTTCCATCCTTGTGTCACTTTACTCACATATCAAAATCCCAGGAGAGCATGTGATCATTTTGATTTAACTCAAATAACAACTCTTTGGCTAGGGTAGATGAAGGTACCTTGATTTACAACCTACAAAAATTAGGTATGTATTCTATTTCTGCCTATGATAGAATAGGCAATGATGGAATTGTATATAAGCTGGCAATTTGAAAGCACCAGCCTGTAAATTTCTTGTCTATTCTTAATTACACCTTTGTTCTTGGTTTGGAATCACAACATGACAATCCAAAGAATCCAAACCTAAAGAGACTTCCTACAAATATTTATAATTGTAAATTGAACAATACCTTTTTACTATTCCAGATGATGGTTCTGAAGGCAACAGGTTTGAGTTGAAATTCTGACTTAGGTGTTTAGTAACTGTTTAACCCTGGGGAAACTACTTCCCACACCTCCACAGTTATTTACCTCACAAGATTATTTTAGGGATTAAGACCAATTCATATAAGAGCCTATCACAGATATGCACAAATAAATGGAGGCATTATTGAGTAAACAAATGCATCTGGATTAAGTATAACTGGTGAAGTAGATAAGAGCCCAATCTTCTGTTGAAAAAGCTTTGTCCTGTTCACATTTGCTAACAATTATTAGTTTAACACATTTCCTTCAAATTCTTATTGAGTGAGAAAAAAGTATAAATTATTTTAAATAGAAAAAAACTAACACAGATATTAGAGTTTTTGAAAATGATTTACGAGAAGAAGATCTCATCTAACACTTGTGCTTTGAGACCTGTTCACCCACCTGGTTTTTTTTTTGTTTGTTTGTTTTCTATGTAATTATAGGTGATTGATAGTTTGAGGTCAAGTTTATAAAAGTATAAAGTGTCACCTGCTGCTGCTAATAAGACCTTGTGTGACCTGTTCTATTACCAACATTATAATTGTTCTACTTAATTCAGTACTACATTCTGAGTATCTTTTTTTTTTTTTTTTTTTTTTGAGACAGAGTCTCGCTCTGTCACCCAGGCTGGAGTGCAGTGGCACAATCTCGGCTCACTGCAAGCTCCGCCTCCCAGGTTCATGCCATTCTCCTGCCTCAGCCTCCCAAGTAGCTGGGACTACAGGTGCCCGCCACCACGCCTGGCTAATTTTTTGTGTTTTTAGTAGAGACGCAGTTTCACTGTGTTAGCCAGGATGGTCTCGATCGCCTGACCTCGTGATCCGCCCTCCTCGGCCTCCCAAAGTGCTGGGATTACAGACGTGAGCCACGGCGCCCGGCCTACATTCTGAGCATCTTATTGGTTATCTGTACATTGTCACATTTGAACACTTACAATCCTGAAATCAAACAGTAGGCAAAGAACAGTTGTACTGGTAATGGTAATTATTCTTGATTTTTATCTTTAGGACCTAGGGTTATCGGTACAAAATAATGACAGGGAGATGTATATCTAGGACCTATAGGATGTCTAGGAGCTGTTCACTGGTTGTGTCTTGGTGCCACAGGCCCAGTGATAATTGTGAATGGAAAATTGTAGCAACCACAGTTTGCCAAACACAAAGAAATCAGGGGTATAAACCCCTTGGGGAAGAAAGTCTGGGTCATTCCAGAAAGCAAACAACATAGACCAACCAAGGAGCAGGCCTAGGGTCAGAGAATTCTAAAATTGTTAGTGCAGGAAGGAGATAAATTATGTCAATTAAGGCTTTGGAATCTGGTGTTGCACTGGGGACTGCAGCTTGTTTCACTAACTTTCCTGCATTCAGTCTTTACAGAGATTCCAGCTGGCCACCATATTGAAGGGGATTCTGTAACTGACTGGATTTAACGCAAAGCAAAAAGAGACATGACTGGTAGGCACAAAGAATGGATTGTATTGAAACAATTCCTGTGTGCCACTTCTAATCCTCTTATTCTGGCCTTAGTTGTGGAGACTAATTCCCACGTAGGATTCAACCAGATTCACTGAGGTGCAACCTGGCAGCACATTGCCTTAGGCAGACGTTGGGTACCTCTTACTTTCTGGTAGGGGTATGCCTGCTCATTAGATATTCACAGGAACTCTTAGCATTTGTGCTTGTGTAGAGATGGTAATGCCCCGTGACATAGCTCTTGACTAATGGGGAAGAGACTTGATTGACAAATGCTTTCCCTTTTCTTTCCCCAGTGGATGATTCTGAGAAGCATTTCACTAGGCTTTCAGATGTTCTTTCAAGATTGATCTCCCTGTCATACAAAAGTGGTAGCCAAATCAATATGCATTCCTCTGTTACTTTTCTCTTCTTCCCATTCTCCTTCTGATTCCTAGAACCACAGTCCCAAATAAATCACTCTCAAATAAAAATTTCCCTCAGTTGGTGCTTTTGTAAAATGAGAATATTATTTGCATTCATTTAAACCCGATTAGAGGCCAGGAGTGGTGGCTCACCCATGTAATCCCAGCACTTTGGGAGGCTGAGGGACACGGATCACTTGAGGTCAGGAGTTCAAGACCAGACTGGCCAACATGGTGAAACCCTGTCTCTACTAAAAGTACAAAAATTACCTGAGAGTGGTGGCAGGTGCCTGTAATCCCAGCTGCTGAGGAGACTGAGGCAGGAGAATCACTTGAACCCGGGAGATGGAGGTTGCAGTGAGCCGAGATCACACCACTGCACTCTAGCATGGGTGACAGAGTGAGACTCCATCTCAAAAAAAATATTAATAATAAACAAATAAAAATAAACCCTATTGGAAACACTGTGATTCAAGATTTGCTGTATTTATTTATCTTTTACTTGCTTTTAAACTACGCAAATAAAATAAATGTATTTGAAATATTTAAAAGCAAATATCTGACATTACCATTTTATCTATAAATATATCAATATATCTTTAATATATAAGGACTTTAAAAATATAACTACAATTCCATTATCATGTCCCCAAAATTAACAATATTTTCTTATTATCTAATGCCTAATATGTATTTAGTTTTTTTCCCTGATTGTCTTTTTATAGCTAGTTTGTTGGGATCAGGAATGTAACAAGGTTGTACATTGTATTTGGTACATTTGTCTGTTATAGTTCTCCCAATCTATAGCAGTTCTTTCTTTCTCTCTCGTATTTATTTTTCATACCTTAGTGTTCTTTTCACCTTTACTTTTTAAATATATTATTTTAAAATTCATGGTTTGTATGCACATTTGTATATCTCAACTCATTACAGAATGAGCTATGATATTAACAAAATCGTCTTTCTTTCTTTTGCCATTTATTTATTGATGAAATTGGGTTATTTGTCCTGTTGAATTTTCCACATTCTGAGTTTGGCTGATTGTTTCCTTAAGGTTCACTTCAATTATTAAATTGAAAATATATAAATATTAAATTGAAAATATATAAGCACCATTCTCTCAAAAGTTTGCCCTGCAAAATGTGTGTTGCTAATTACTCAGAATGGTTTCTGTCTTTGCTTCCTTAATATTGACTTTCTGATTTCCAACAGGAGGGCTTTGCATTCTTGAATGTGCTGAGGCAAAGGAAAGCCCATTTCCTGTTCACTTGTTGGAGAAAAGAGTGACATTTATTGGATGTATGCTAAAAATGGACTTCTGCATTGAGATTTATCTATCTGATATCATACGTCATTCCAATAACAATTTGAGGTGTTATAAAAATGTGCACACAAAAACATTTTAAATAATACATTAAGGTACTGGGCAAAAAGAACACTAAGGTAGGAAAAATAAATATAAAACTTCAGCTGTCACTCCAAACAGAATGATAGACTCCAAGAGGCTTCATATAAAACACTCTTGGTCATTCTAGGTGACTGTAACATTTCAGTGGAAGCATGGTCAGTTCTTTACCACATCCCATGGCTTGTAACAGTGCCTGGCCCATAGGAGGAGTAAATCACTAGTTGTTAACTACCATTTAACTGCAATCACACCTCTCCATTTGTGACCGGATTGATTCCTAATAATTATGACTGAAGCTACATGAACTGTACAGACAATTTAAAACATAAATTCTATTATGTATGTATTCTTTGTGTAAGTCCCTCTGGGAATTAAATATTAAGACATTGATTGTAGATAGCATATAGGAATAAGTTCAGCAGGTTTCAAAGGTTTAGGTTGAAGAGGAAGACAGGAGAAAAAGTGAAACACAATCTTTTCATCTAGAAATAACAATTATTACTTTCCTTCAACGAAATAAAAAATAATATTTATAAGAGCACTGCAATAGCACAAGAATGAGGAGCAACTTCAAAATGAAGTGGTGACATGATATTTCACCTTAGTAACTGGGAAAAATATGATAAACAAAGAACACTGAATTCTTCAGATTATATTCATAGAAGTAATTTGGAGCTGAACATCAATCCATAGAGGTGATTAGAATACTTTGGATTAGAACTACATATTTTCTAGGCCAGGTGTGTTGGCTCATGCCTATAATACCAGCACTTTGGGAGGCCAAGGCAGGTGGATCCCTTGAGTTTAGGAGTTTGAGACCTGGGCCTGGCAACATAGCAAAGTCCCACCTCTACAAAAAAAATACAAAAAATTATTCGGGCCTAGTAGTGTGGGCCTGTAGTCCCAGCTACTTGGTAGGCTGAGTTGGGAGGATCACTTGAGCCTGGTAGATGGAGGTTGCAGTGAGCCGAGATCGTGCCACTGTACTCCAGCCTGGGTGACAGAGTGATACCCTGTCTCAAACAAACAAACAAACAAACACCTGCCGCCCCACCCCACAAAACTAATTATTTCATTGAGTGATTCCTGTCTACTTTATAGAAAACAAAACAAATGACTGAGACCAGCCTGGGCAATATAATAAGACTCTGTCTCTGGGGGGAAAAAAAAGAAAGGAAGAAAGAGAAAAAAGAAAAAAGATGAAGAAAACAAATAACTTAAAGTTCACTTAAAAGTATTATAAAGCACATGACAGACCTTTTTTATTATTTTTATTTTTTGTGGGTACAGAGAAGGTTTATGTATTTATGGGATACATGAGATGTTTTGATACAGGCGTGCAATGTGAAATAAGCACATCATGAAGAATGGAGTATCCATCCCCTCAAGCATTTATCCTTTTAGTTAAAAACAATCCAATTACAGTCTTTAAGTTTTTTAAAAGTGTAAAATTACGTTACTATTGACTATAGTCACCTTATTGTGCTACCAAATAGTAGGTCTTATTCATTATTTATATATTTTTTGTACTCATTAACTTTCCCTACCTTTCCCCCCCACTGCCCCACCCCCACTACCCTTCCCATATTCTGGTAACCACCCTTATGCCCATGAGTTCATTTGCTTTGATTTTTGGATCCCACAAATAAGTGAGAACATGCAATGTTTGTCTTTCTGTGCCTGGCTTATTTTGCTTCACATAATGATCTCCAGTTCCATTCATGTTGCAAATGACTGGACCTCATTCTTTTTTTTGGCTGAGTAGTGCTCCATTGTGTATATGTACCATATTTTCTTTACCCATTGATCTGTTGATGGACACTTAGCTATTGTAAACAGTACTGCAACAAACATAGGTGTGCAGATATCTCTTCAGTATACTGATTTTCTTTCTTTTGGGTATATACCCAGCAGTGGGATTACTGGACTGACAGACCATTTTAAAAATTCAAAACAAAGTTGAAACATAATTGAGATATTTTTACAAAATTGAGCCAAAATAGAATTTTAATTTTTAGATACAGTAAAATGAATCTATAACTTGGTTTCTTTTAAAAATCATCAAATATTCAGGAATATTAACTAAAATTGACATATCAACAAATGTTTCAAAGGAGAGAATTAACTTGAAAGTGCTTTTAAATGTAAATTGCTATATAAATAGAAAATATAAAAGATAGTTTTACTCAGTTCTTTGTACCAAGCATCATCAGGCACTGAGGGCAAGTCACAAATAAGCAAGGAAATAAACGAACCACAGCCTGTTGTTTCTTTTTAAAGGATGCTGACAGTCACTTCCTGTCTGAGAGCGTGTCATCTTTTGCTTCCCTATTTGAATCAGGATATTCTCGTGACTAGACATGTTTATATTCATGCCCACACAAATGTCTACCAACTGAATGTGTAAGTCAAGATCAAAAAAATTTTCACTAGAGTATACATATATATGTAATACATTACATAAATGAGGAAAAATAAAACTATATGAAAATCTAATGAGATGGTTTCTGTAGTGCACTAAACCCTCTTGTCTAAGAATTAACCAAAATGAAACATAAACATTTAGTAGACTGGATTTATAGAGGAGCATTTTGAATAGTGGGACAATAATTCTGGATTCTCATGTTATAGTATGGTTGGCTATATATTTAAATCTAAACATTTTAGTTGATTAAATTCATTCAGCTATTCATCCATTCAACAAACTTTTATTGCTTGCTACTGCAGCCAATACTGTGTTTGGTTCTAGTACCTCAGAGGAAAGTAAGACATCCCTTTCTCTCAAAAGTCAACAATCTAGTAGAGGAAATAAAAGTAAATCTAGGATTGTGAGGTACTCTGATGGGAAGAGGTGTGTAGAGACAGCTTTAGGTGAACAAACAGGGGATGCCTAAATTGGCCTAGGGCTATGGCTGGAGAGGTGAGGTGGGGTAAGATCAAAGAACACTTTATGGGGGAAGTGATGTTTCAGCTTACTTTTAATGGAAGAAGAGACAATGTGAAGCGTGTTATAAGAAAAAGAAAACTGCTTTATCCATGGGAGAATTCAGTCAATTCTGTTTGAATGGAGAGAAGGATGATTATTGGGAACAATGGGAATGGAGGGTGTAGTGGAAAGTGGGAAGCAAGTAGTATGAGGGTATTTAGGAATGTTTAAAGTTTCTGCTCCTTGTTTTCTTACTGATGGATTTTTAAGTAAAGGAGAAACATAATCAGATTCAAATACTAGAAAGATAACTCTAGTAGTGTAGAGAAGAGAATTGAGTGACAGGAAAACTCATTAGAGTCCATTGTGGTAAACTAGTTCTGGAGCTGAGGCACTGCATGGGGAGAGAGACTGGTCAGGGGTGGTGACCTTCACTGAGATCAAAAACACCCACCCATTGTGGGGAAGGTTGGGGAGGAAATAATGAGTTGGGTTTTGTAACTGTATTGAGATGTATTGTCCAATTATATGGGTTTAGTAGGAAGTTGGATACATGGGAAACAGCAATGCTTAAGAAGAGGGCATAAAGAAGGAAGGATGTGGAAAGAGGGGAAAACCTCGTGATATTTTGCCTTAAATGGTTAATTCTCTTAGTCAAGTTGGTGGCTATGTTTTGACCTGTCTGGTATTGTCAGGTACACATAGCCTTGGAATTTGAATTCTTGTGAAGAGAGAAGGAACAGTAGCAGCTGGTACCCCAATAAGAAACACAGTGAATGAGTTATCGGTTATTAAAGCTTTTGCTTAAAATACTCATAAAAACTTCTGTCTGATACTTGCAAAGAGCTATTAATAATCTTACCCATTAAAGACATACATTGTCATTTTTCCTTAATAAAAATGTATTCTCTGCCACAGCTGCTATTACCTTATCAACATCTGCCCGTGATTGATAGGAAAGTTTGTTTTTAAAATGAAACTAGGATAAAAAGTCTGTCATTTAATATACTTATATGCAATCTGTATCATGATGGATCAATGAATTTATTTTTAATATGAAATCTGGATGAAAATCTTTGGGTTATTAAAAAATTCAAATGTAAATATATTTTAAAAGACAGTCCTATAAATAACAATGTCAGGAATTTAGCAATAGGATTATTAGTTTATATGAAGTCTTTTGATAATGTTTTTTATTAAAACTATGGTTTTACTTTAATAATTGAAGATACTTTGTAGATATGATATACTTGAATTTTCCATTGACTTACTTATATAAAAGTCATTTGTTATGATAGTTACACAATGATATAAATGTACTTAATGCCATTGGACTCTATACTTAAAAATTTTTTAAATGGTAAATTTGTGTTATTTATATTTTACCTCACAAAAAAAAGTCATTTGCAACACGATTTAATATGCTTAGTCTGGACAATTTCTCTACTGTGAAAGTAAAACCTAAATAGTGAATTACATGCTTTGATGTTGCAATGAGAGGGCAGTTGTGCATTAAATAGCCTTTGGGTGCATCAGAGAAAGATCAGAGAAGAATAAATGTCCCAGCCCACCTCTATTACCCTCTGTTGGCATACCTTAAGAAAATAATTCTTTTAAATTATGTCAAAAAAACTGTAATTAATGAGGACACACTTTAAAAGAATGTAATTATTTTGTAAGTTAATCAAGGAGAATATGAAAGGAAGGACAGGATTTAACTCAGAGACTCACTTGATCCCTGTCCTTGGAAGCAGTCTCTCCTTGTTATCGTGGAGGGTAGCACGCTTGGCAAGAATATACATTTGACACACTTGAGATTTAAAAACTATAAACTTGTACTATGGGATTATAGTAGAATTCTAATTAGTAATATTAGCCAGTCATTTTTTGGCCTTTGATAAAGTTTGAGAGAATTTTCATCATTGCCCAAAGAAACTCTGTAACTACAGTCCCATTAGCAGGCAGTCCCCAAAACTGACAGTTCTTCAAAATTATCTGGAGCGTATTTTAATATGCATTGTCTCTCTTTTCACCCTAGATGGACCAAATCCGATTATTTGGGAATGGGGCCTCAGTTCTACATTTCAATAAAGTATTCTGAGTTAAATTAATGTGATCTATCTGTGAACTTTCATTTATGAAACACTGTGTTAGTTCTGTTTCCATGAGGCAAATATATACCTTCAAATTCACCTTGGTGGGCCTAATACAAGGCAGTTTATTCATTTATTCAAAAACATTTTATTGCATGCCTGTTTCACTTAAGTATATCATTGATGAAGTAGTTACAATTATTTGTGTTATTAAATCTCAACCCTTGAGAAAATGTTCTGCTAATATTCTGCGTGATAAAATGGAAAGTATGCATTAGGCACTTCTGCTGCTTACTCAACTATGATGGTTGTCTGGAAGAAAAGCATTTGTGCCAGTGAGTTGCAAATGAACTACACTTTTCTTCAGAAAACACCATTAAAAGAACGAACATTGACAAAGAAACCATGTCTATTCAGACTTGGATAATTGGCAAATATTTTCTCAAAAATGAGCAAAGTGAGTTTGATAATTCAAGGAAAACAACTGACCGCATTTGTTGTCAATGATAAAATTTGAGTTTTCAAGGAAGAGTTACATGTTGAAAAATGTGTGTCTACCAGAATGAACTTGATGCGTCCCAGTAGTTCAAACATTTTGATGATATTGGTGACATTAATAAATGTTCATTTTTGAAATTATAAAATGAAATGTGTCAGCATTTAGAAAATCTGCATAACCCAGTGGAATAATGTTTTCTAAATGACCAACACATGATGTTACAAAATCATCCACACTTTGTGTAAGATAAAACCAATGAATTTTAGTGTAACAGAGAATGAAAAGTTTATTGATGTTATTTTGGATTTCATGCTGCAACTACCCTTTAAGAAATAGTCACTTGTCAAATTTTGGTGTACTATCAAAGAAAAATATATACATTTATCTGAAACAGATATAAAAATGTCCTCTGTTTTCCAACCCAATATCTGCGAGATGTTGAGTATTTTCTGTACACATCAACCAAAATGACATGTTGCAGTTGATTGAATGCAGAAGTAAAAATATAATTAGTCTTCATACATAGGTTATTTATATTAACATGTAATGATCTATTATTGTTATATGTCAAACAGTTAATAAATTAAAACATGGGCTTTTATATTAGAAATACCAGGATCAAAATCGCTTGACATGACATTTGGCAATTTATTTAATCTCTCTGAGACTCAGTGTTTTCATTTGCACATGAGGAAAATATGAGCAAATCCATTAGGCTTTTTGTGCATTACTAGATAACACATGTAATAAGCATAACACCATTACAATGTAGCACATTACACTGGTGACATTATTTAAGTATTTCTTTTTTCCAAGAGTCTCTAAGTTTTACTCCAGCATGATGTTGAACATCGGAAATAGTGCCTGCACTATGTTGTTTCAGATGTATCTTGATTGTGTTATAACATATTACAATATATTTCTTTAACCTTTATAAAGATTATATAGCCCATATGTGCTAAGGAGAAGTGAAAAGGACAAAGTAATGTCTAATATGTGCAACTGATTTAACACAAGATCAAATCTCAAGATATGGGGGAATATAATTTAAAAACTTCACTGATTAAATAGTAAATCAATGATGGAGATGCAGGCGTTCATTTATTCATTCATTCACTTTTCAAGATGAATTTATTGAGTACATACTCTGAATCAGAACACTGCTAGGTCCTAGTAATCCAAAGGTGAGCAATACAATTTTTGTCTACACATAAGTTATGGTTGCTCAGTGGAAAATACAAATGCCAACAAACCAATGCAGTGTTATAAGTAGCATGCTACATAGGTCTAGAGTGAAGACAGAACCAAAGATAAGGTAGTTATTTTGTCTGTTGGTAATGAAGGGCAGTCTGACAAG
Organism: Homo sapiens; assembly: GCF_000001405.40. NCBI lineage: Eukaryota > Metazoa > Chordata > Mammalia > Primates > Hominidae > Homo > Homo sapiens. Next base: position 40,142,023 of record NC_000012.12, read on the forward strand.
ATTCCCTAGGAAAGATGATATTGGGCTGATTCTGAAAACAGGATGTACTTGCCTAGTGGGTAATGGCAGTGGAGGTTGTCGGGGAGCTTTCCAGGGAGAGAGAAAAATATGAGCAAAGTCACAAAAGTGTGAAATAACATGGCATGTGTAAGGAGATGCTGGAAGTTCCACATGATTGGAAGAGGACTGAAAATAGGAATGTGGCAAGAAATAAGCTGTGGCCAGATCACAGAGAGCCCTTCCTATTCACAACTGAGTGAGTCACTGAGGGATAAAATAAAGGTTTGTACCTACTTGCTTACATTCCTCCAAATTCATCTAGGATATATTTCCATGAATTTTAACGCAGATTTCAAAAGTGTCTTTTAGATGAAATCTAGAAAATTCTTTAAAAATCCTTCAAAATAATTGAATATCTACTTCAAAAGATGCTCAGGTAGGGTGGGGGAAATTTCCAAGGACTGGATTTGATGTTTATCTTTGTGACTTCGGGTGCTTTTTATGGCAGTTTCATGATAAACATCTGCTTGAATCATCTTTGTTCTTATGAAATTTTGCTTATCCACCGGAGAAACACATACTGTTGGCCCAATTCCAAAACACAATTTCTTCCTAAGATTTTGAAAAAAGAACATAAGTTATTAAATGGCCAAGGTACTGAAAGCACATTAAAAATATCAGTGAAGGGCATGTCTAGGGTTGAGCATTTAGAAATACTTAGAAATTTCATACACAGTAGGACTAATGATTGCTGTAGTGATGGGGCCCTTAAATAATTTTTGAACACTGTTTTTGATCATATTTTCCATTGAACAAGAGGCTAATCTTTATAGCAAACAAAATAAAACAACAATAACAGCAGCAATAAAACAAACTATAGAAAAATAGATAATTCTGTATTATCCTTATACTTGAAAAGGTTTGCCAAAGCCTCAATGAAGTATATTTAAGTTGAGCTAAATATGCTTGGAAGGAAATCTCAATTACAGATGCCAAAAGTTAGAAAGAAGAAAAAGGAGTCATGAAAAAGGAAAAGACAAGTTGACATAAGGTGTCATTTTACATCTCTTTGAAACTATTCTTTTAGATCTGTTTTACTTTATCAGTGGCATACTGAGGTAAGAACTGGAAGCATCAAGTTTTCTTATTGTGGAGAAAAATCCCTTGAGAATACTGAATACCTAAGCAGAATGGTATCTGAAATAATAGGTTATAGATAGGCATACTGGGTCTCATATTCATCCACTCATCCATTTATTTATTCATTCATACATCTGGTTTAGGACATTTATGATGTATTTATTATGTGCCAGTTTCTGACTTGAGCAATTTGATATATCTTATGCTATTTTAAATGTTATTTTCTTTAAGGATCTATTAATATTTCATTCTTGTGTATAAAAATGAAATACCTAGTAATGGAACTAACAAAAGATGTATGTGACCTTTGCAAAGAAAACTGTAAAACATTTTGAAAGACAACTCCAAATAAAAACAGTAACACAGCATGGATTACAAATGGATTAAAAGATTCGACATACTAAAGATGTCAATTTTTCCCCAACTGGTACTTATACTCAGTGTAATTCCACTCAAAACCCGATGGATTTTCTTGTAAAGAATGTCAAGGTGATTCTAAGGATATAAAAGACCAAAGGTTTAAAAATAGGTAAGACTATAGCAAACTGTATGCCTTATCAAATATATATATATAATAATTAAATAATGAAGTATTCACTCAAGAATAAGCAACGTGACCTGTGAAACAGAATAAAGAGTCCAGAATCAAATCTACATATAATTGGAAACTTAATTTATGACACAGCTGATCTTGCTGATAACAGAAGATAGAAAGAAATTTTTAAATAGTGCTGAAATAACTGATCATGCATGTGAAAATGTCAAAACTGAAATGTTACCTTACATATATAATATATTATCTAATATATTTGGAGCAACAAGTCACTCCAAAAACTTAGGGCTCAAAACAATAATAAATATCTTTTTGACACCGTTTCTGTAGGTCAGAAATTCAGGAAGAGCTTCTCTGGCAGTTCTGTCTTGAGTTTCTAATGAGGTTGCAGTGGAGATGTCAGGTGCCACAGTCTTCTGAAGGCTTGACTGAGACTAGAGCATGCACTTCTCAGATGGCTTTTACCCACATGGCTGTTACCAGCCAGTTCCTCACTGCTTCTTGGCTCAGTTTCAGCTCCTAGCCACATGGATGGCTCCATAGTGCTGCTTGAATGTCCTCATGACACAGAAGTTGGCTTCCCTCATAGCTAGAAATAAAAAAGAGAGGACAGGTGGAAATTACAATGCCTTTTGTTATCTAGGCTCAGAGATCTAACACCATCATTTTTGCATATCTTATTTATTATACAGGTCAGCCTTATTCAGTAAGTGGGGATACCACAGACAAGGGTATGAATATCCGGGGCAGGGATTATTGGTGCCATCTTGGAAGCTGGTTATCACATAATTAATTATAGGTAGATGAGAGAATTCTATAACACTTTATAAGACAATCTATAAGAAAATCTTTATGATTTCAGAGCAAAGACTTCTCAAAGAAGCAAAATACTCAAATTACAAAGAAAAAGACTATTTAATTCAACTATATTAAGAATAAGTTCATCTATTTAACAACAAAACAGCATAAAGTAGGAATCAAATCACAAATACCATATTTGCAGCAAATATGATTTAAAATTGTTAATATCCAGACTATAGAAAGAAATTCAAACCAACACTAAAAAGATAAATGATACAAAAGAAAAATGAGCAAAAGCTTTAAGTTCCTAAAAGAAGAAAGAGGAATGGTCTATATTAAAAGACGGACAGTTTCATTAGTAACCAGGGAAATGCAAAGTAAAGCCAAACTGTGATACCATTAAACACCCATTTGATTTGCAAAACTTAAGAAATGTGAAACAAAACAAAACAAAACAAAAAGAAAAAGAGAAAAAAATTTTTAAATTAATTAATTAAAAAACATTCTGAGACTATGATGACGTGGAACAATGGAAAACCTTCCACATGGCCAGCATGAGTGTAAATGGTCCAACCGTTTTGAATCACAATTTGGCGTCATGTGCCATAGTTGAGTTTGTGCATATCCAATTATCCAGCAATTCCTCTTCTGGAGAAAATACTACATATGTTTGTAGAAACACTGTATTAACAAAAAACTAAAAATAACTCAAACAACCAACAAAAGAATGGACAAATTGTAGGATACAATGGAATATCATACAGCTGTGGAAGGGTGGGAGTAAGTCTGCAGGAATTTTTTTTTAATTTAGAGACGTTATAACATACTTAAATGCACATGAGAAGTAACCCATAAAGAGGGGGGAGGATAAAGACTCTAGGAGAGAGTAAAAAAATGAGTAGTGTGAGATTCCTGAAAGGCAAATGAAAAAGAATATGGAGACAAAGGAAAGGATTTCTTCATTACACATGATGCAGGAGGTAAGGATGGATATGCATTTATTCAGTAAATATTTACTATTATCCCTTCCATGCCAGGCTCTGTCGTTGCTACTAAGGATGCAAGTAGATTTGAAAATTGGGGACCGGGCATGGTGGCTCACGCCTGTAATCCCAGCACTTTGGGAGGACAAGGCAGGCAGATCACAAGGTGAGCAGATCGAGGCCATCCTGGCTAACAAGGTGAAACCCCGTCTCTACTAAAAATACAAAAAATTAGCTGGGCGTGGTGGCGGGCGCCTGTAGTCCCAGCTACTCCGGAGGCTGAGGCAGGAGAATGGTGTGAACCCGGGAGGCAGAGCTTGCAGTGAGCAGAGATGGCGCCACTGTACTCCAGCCTGGGAGACAAAGTGAGATTCCGTCTCAAACAAACAAACAAAAAAAAAAAAAAAAAAAAAAAGAAAAAGAAAAAGAAAAAAAAAGAAAAAAAGAAAAAAGAAAATTGGGTGATAGGAATATGATGGAATGTCTACTTAATGGCTCTCATGTTCCTTGTGAAGTAGGTGGTAAAGTCATCTCCTGGGGGTGAGGGGAAAGCTTGGGGCTTTAGGTTTAAGGAGAGTGAAGATTAAAAATTGTATACAGAACAGGAGAGCAAGTAGGGAAGGAAATAAAGCAGCACGGTTGGGCAGTGTTCAAAGCCTAGCTAAGGTTAGTGAATTTATGGACAGAATTCCCAGTTGTACCACTTTCTCCAGCTAGCTCAGTGCTAGCATATATATATATATATAAATATATATAAAATATATATAAATATATATAAATATATATAAAATATATATATAAATATATATATATAAATATATAAAATATATATATATATATAAATATATATATAAATATATATAAATATATATATAAATATATATATAAATATATATAAATATATATATAAATATATATAAATATATATATAAATATATATATATAAATATATATGAATATATATAAATGTATATATAAATACATATAAATATATATAAATATATATAAATATATATATAAATATATATAAATATATATAAGTATGTATATAAATATATAAATATATATAAGTATATATATAAATATATATATAAATATATATAAATATATATAAGTATATATATAAATATATATAAATATATATAAGTATATATATAAATATATATATAAATATATATATAAATATATATAAATATATATAAATATATATATAAATATATATATAAATATATATATAAATATATATATAAATATATATATAAATATATATATAAATATATATATATAAATATATATAAATATATACATATAAATATATATTTATATATATATATATTTTTTCCCCCCAGCAGGTTCAAACAAGAGGACAACATAGCAGAAAAATGTAGGACATGTAGGACACTGGCAAGAGGTTTTTTGAAATAACAGATAGCTGCCAGTGAGTTTGCTGATTAAAATCCTGGAGAGCCATGCGTGGTGGCGCATGCCTGTAGCTCCAGCTACTCTGGAGGCTCCCTTAAGATTGCAGTGAGCCATGACTGCACTCCAGCCTGGGCGACAGAGTGAGACCCCGTCTCTAAAAAAAAATTCTGAAGGAGAATGTATCATTTGAGTGTATCCAGGAATCAAGTAAAGTTATTACATATTTATTTGATGAGAAATACAAGTGTTTAAAACCACAAGTAAAGAGGAGTTAATGTCCTGTTGGAAGGAAACTGACCGATGAGAGACCCGAGATCGAAAGGGTCCTGCAGATATATTTTTCTGCCTTTCTCCCCCAGCTGCTTGGAGATGCAAAAACTTCCACCTGTCCTGTGATACTGAGCTATCTTTTCTTGTGAAACTATGGCCAGTTCCGTAATGCACCATCTCCTATTTTCTTTTCTTCCTTCCCTGCTTCACTTTGCTCTTTACCTCATTCTTGCTTCCCTGGGCTTTCACTTCCTGATAAAACAGCACTGCAGACCTTTTGGTTAGGCTCTGTCTTTTAGGGTACTTGGGGGAAGACAAAGTGAATTTCTCTGCTGAATTTGGAGTTCTTAGAAGTCAACTCATGGAGGGAAGGACAGGGAAGTGGTGAGATAGAAGTGGGAAGATAAATAAGGAACCAAAGAGACAGTAGGAGGCCTGGGTCAATCTGCGGTGAGGTAGCAGCGAGAAATCCCTGGCAGTGCATGGGATGACTGAAGGGTTTTTAGTAACTAGGATGTCTATTATTCAATTTAAGATAATCATGTTGCTTCATGGTAAAGTCCCTCCTATCCCTTTCCTCCCCCTAAATTTGGTAAATTATATTACATACATATAGGCTTTATTCGATTTTCTATTTTGAGGGAGAACAATAAATGACTGAACTTCACATGTGAGTTAACACGGCATGAAATAGAAAGGATATTTCCAGGTGGAAAGATGATCCATTAGCTTAACTAGTTCAAAGGGCAAACAAAAGCCAGAAGAACCAAGACAATATAAGACCTAGAAAACTTGAGAAGAATGTTACACCGACATAGGCATGGAATGGGATGATGGGAGAAAATTTGTTATGCATTAACGGATCTGGAGGTCCCATATGACATACGGGCAGCTTTCCTTACTAGAGGGTACTTCTGCAATTTTATTGATTTTTAGCTGTCTTTGTTTATGCACATATATTCATTTACGTGCTGAAGTCTTTTTAAAGTACATTTATTTTCTTTAATCAATAAGGATTTATGCAATAATATATTGATATTATAATTGAATTATTATGGATGCTACTTCCAGATATGAGATTTTGCTGCTAAGACTGTATTAGGACATTGCTATTTGAGACAATTTATTCAGTCCTGTGCACAGTTGTATAAGGCATGCCAAAAACTGTTCATGCCAATTTTTATGTTCACAAGGCAATAGATAGGGGTGTCCCTGCAGATGTGTCAGCTCCTATAGGTACTGTGGCATTTTATTTTAAATACAGTAAAAAAAACCTTTGTCTACTAAAAAGAGTATACCATAAATATTGGAAAAATTATTTATTGTTTGATAGAAATTTCTACTTTTCAATTTATTAAGTAACCAATAATTTTCAGGAATAAAACCATATACATGGAATAGAAGGAGAAAAAAATGACAAAATCATTCTAAAGCATTTCATAATTCATAATTTATGCATGTCAGTTGAGCTCACAGGTATCTGGCATTTCCTAAATCAAAATGACAGTGAAACTCCCCGCCCTTTGTAGCCTGGTATCAAAATACTTCACATAAAAATGAATTATGAGCAATGTAGCATAACTATACATATTCCTTTTGCAAATAGTTTATGTGAAACAAATATATTTCATTTTTTATGGTTTGATTGAGAAAACATGCCTTAGTGATATTGAATGGTCTGAGGTCACGGACTCAAGCAAATTAAATGTCAGTCTAAACTGTTATATGTATTTACAAAATTATGTCATTTAGCAATGTGGTTTACTCCTATTGGTGGGTAGGAACATACCTTTTAATTTTTCATTAGGAATATGACAGTATTACTCAACTTTTAAAAAATCCCTTTTGTAAAGTGACTTTTGATAAAATAGGAGTGCTATACCTTCCTTTAGTTATTTAGCAAAAAAACACTTCAGTGAAATTGGGAGGAACCTAGATCCTGGAATCAGACGTATTTGGGTTTGAATTATGAGCACTTACCAGATATGTGATCTTACACTTCTGTATTTGAGTTTCCCCATCTTTTAAATGCAGATACTAAGAATAGCTACTGCAAAGTATTATTGTGACAAGTTAATGTTATAATTCTTTTACATGCCTAGTATATTGCTCAGAGTATCATATATGCCTATTACTATTATCATTATTCACTTTCAAAGAAAATTAAGTACATTGATCAAAAATCATTATAATTTTAATTTTTTCACACTGCATATTCTCCCATGAACTCTGACACTCCCCTACTCTCCCTTTCTACCCCATATCCCCTCTTGCCACCTCAAGAATTATTAGACTATATACTTAAGATATTGAATCACATTCTGAACATCAATCTCTTATGATACTAATCTATGACCTTAGGACCCATACACAATTACCTTGTTTTTCCAAAGTTTGTTTCTTTAAATAGTATGTATGGATGAGCTTTTGGCTAATCCTGAAACATGCTGTTTAGAATAAGTAGTCTGAATTCCATTCATCTTTTTGCATACTAACTCTTGAACCTGAAATATGCTCTTCCACACCTAAGCATAATATAATGAACAAGCACTGGCTGGCATTTTATGCCACATATAATTACAATAATGGACCATCCAATTTATAAAGAAAAAAATATGTCCTTCTGTTCCTCCCAAGGGGTTAGATTACTGTGTTGAATGTTACACAACAGACAGAAGTGGCTTAGCCAAATATGAGCTCATTTTCCCCATGTACAAGAAGTCTAGGGGTAGGCAGACCAAAGATGATGCATTAGAGATGGTGCTAACAGAACTCATCAGACCAGGCTCCTTCTCCCTTCCTTCTCTGCCATTCTAGTGTCTTTTATCCTCTTGGTTGTAGGATGGCTGCCCCACCTCCAGATGTCATTTGCATGTCTCATATGGGAGGAGGAGAGCAGGATGAAGGGCAAAGGTGAATTTTATTGCGAAAACAATGACATTCCCACAAGCTTCCTACAGGAAGTTTCCTCCTGCATCTTGTAAGTCTAGATTACATGGGGGCAATTCTACCTTAAAAAGAGTCTATGGAGGAGAATTTTTAACTGGACACAGTGCTGTCCTTAAAATTTGTGGAATGAAGAAGAGATGAAATATTAGGCAGATAATCAGCAGTGTCTGCCACATGGATCAAGACATTTTTGCTTGATTTATAGAGAATGATACTGCAACATCATTATGCTACCAAAGTACACCAGCATCAGCTTAATAGGGAAACATCCTTTACTAATATAAAACATAATACCAAAAATATTCAGTTAATAAAAGGAAGTAAAGTTCAAGATTTTTAGTAAGTCTCAACAGAAGACTCAAATAAACTCTGTAGTACTATATATTAGTGTTAGAGACTTCAGTAGGAATCCCTATTATCTATTAATATCTACTAATCATCTATCTAACCACTTATCATCTATATATATATTGAGAGACAGAGAAATAATTATAGATGTGATTATATACATATATATGTATTATTAGCATACATACATGTGTTTCCTACTTCAGTTTGCTGGGAGAGCCTAGAAGCAATGACACCCTATAGCAATGAGCACACTAAGTCTCTAGATCTTGCTTTCTAAATATCAGTCACCAATAGAAACAATCAATCAGAGCTCCTTGAAGGAATTATTGATTCTAGGGCTGGGATCGGGTAAATACTAGATGAACCTGGATCATCTTTTAGTGCCAGAAGTGCTCAAAAGCAAGCAAGCAAGAAAACAAACAAACAACAAACACCCCCCACCCCCTAAAAAATGAAGGCATGTCAAAAGGTCACAGTAACAAACCTGAAAGAAACCACTATGGCCAAAGCTGGAATAATTTGGGCAGTGAAATAAATAATGTGGTAGTGAATTATAATCCAAAGTTTAAAACACCACACGAGTCTGTGCTGGTACAAAGAAATCATTGAACAAATAAATAAATGGGAGACAATTGGCAAATTTTCCTTCCAGAAAATTTCAAATAACATATGCAGATATTCTCTCCTCTCCCTTCCACCTTGAGTGTGGGCTGAACTCAGTGATGCTCTCCCAAAGAATAGTGAAAGGAAAAATAGCAACTTTCTAGTGGAAAAGCACAACCTTAACCTAGTGGTCAAGGTTCTCATCACCAGTGATAAGTTATGTTGATGCTATATACCCCTGCCTGATATGAAAACCCATAACTCCAGTCTAATCATGAGAAAAACATTCTTAGTGTATAACTTTTATCTTCTTGGTTAAAATTGAACTTGCTAACATTCTACAAAATAGATATTCCTTAAAACTGTGAAGGTCATGAGAAATAGGAAAATACTGAGAAACTTTCACAGAGAAGAGAAGACTAAGGAGACATGACGGCTAAATGCAATATGATATTCTGCATGGGAATCTGGGATAGAAGAACATCAGTGGAGAAACTAGTGAAATCTACATAAAATTTGGAGTTTAGTTAATAGGGATGTACCAGTATAAGTCTGTTAGTTTTGCCAAATGTAGCAGAATAATGTAAGATGTTAACATGAGGAGACACTGATTGAAGGTATAAAAAAATTCTTTACACTATCTTTGCAACTTTTCTGTAAATCTCAAATTGTTGCAAAATTAAAAGTTTTTAAAAAAACTTCCACATAGTTAAAACTGGAAGGGATAATAGCCGGTTCGTAAAGCTTTACAATAACAGTGTGAACTTATGACTAATGGTCTCCAAAGCATCTCAGAGTGGATCAATACAAACTGTTTAAGCTAGGTACAGTTATTATATCAATACTAGTCTGGTTCAGGCTCCAGATCCTAAGGAAACAGAAGTCCACGTGTAAAGAGATATTTAATTTGAACTTTTCACTAAACGGTACTTACGTATGAGATTTCTGGATAATTGTAACCTTTGCAAGGTCAAGTGAAAGCTGCCAGCAGTTGAAATTAATCTACTGTTTTCTTCAAAATCAGGATATTCACAGTTAGGAACCTATGCCTGCAAAAGGAATTTTGGTCAATTCTATGTCATTTTTCCTCACAAAATCATAGAATTACCTTGAGAAATTCCAACTAAAAAATTGTTTCTACTTAAGAACTACATTTGTAGAGCAACAGTGTTGGCAACCAGCTAACATCACTGTGGGATATCAGAATTTTAATCTTGCTTTCCCATTCATTCTTTCAACGACCTTGAAAAACTTATTTAATATGTTCCTTGGCCACTATATGAGGTTGATTAAATTCTGTAGATTAAAAAAAAAGAACAATTATATAATCATCAAAAAGCTACTTGAAATAAAAGTGTTAACATACATATTGTGGAAGGACATTATACCACTTTGTGGAAGTCATACAGATATTTATTTTTTCTCTAGTTTTCTATTTATTAAGAGCAAAGTTGAATAGAAGTAACGAAAAAGTCATTCTTGCTGAGAAACAGAACAAATTGAAGTGATGAATGAAGGTTAATCTTCAAAGATATCCCCTACAGAAAACACTCCAAATATTTTTTCTTGTAGAGAGACTTCCTCCAGAAACCCAACATGAACTTAAACATCCTAAGTTGCAGTTCCATAACAACCGTTAAACTTCAACTTTTAAAAACCTTCAAGAAATGAATAGTCTTGACTCTGCCAACTTAGAAATTAAGAGAAATCTCTTCAAAATATATCAGCATCCTTTTCTTCAGTCTCTGATCTTGAGTTAACTTTTGGGAGGCTTTTGAGGCCCCTGTCATCGAGGAATGCAAGCATGTATAATTCAAAAGAGCCTTGTAATTGTACAGGGACATTCAGGATTAATTATGCATGTTGCCACCTCGCAGAGGTCCACAAGGGGGCACTCTTTTGCTGAACTTTTCTATACATTTCAAGGTAAAAACAGACTATGATAATAGGAATTTGGTCTATATATATTTATTTGTTTCTCATGGTTCTTTCAATTGTATCCTAGTCAGTTTCCTCCTTTGCTATCTTTTTTCAGGTGATTCTTTTTTATTGTGATAAAATATACATAACGTAAAATTTACTGTTTTAAAGTGTACAGTTCAGTGGCATTAAGTACATTGACATTCTTTTGTAACCGTCATCACCATCCAGCTCCAGAACTTTTTCATTTTCCCAAACTGAAACTCTATACCCATTAAAAAATAACTCCCCATTTTCTCCTCCCCCAACCCCCAGCAACAACCATTCCACTTTCTGTGTCTATGAATTTGACTCTAGGTACTTTATATAAGTGGAATTATAAAGTTTCAATTGACATAATTTTTCAAAGTTCATCCCTGTTGTTCCAGATGATTCTCAAATGAACTTTTCAACAATTTTACTAAGTACCCAAAGTTTTAGGAAAAACTAGGCTAAAAGAAGCTGATATTATTGGCACTTCTATATATGTACCTGCTCTTTATTGGTCTTTTCTTCCTCATTTGTCCACATTCCTCAACTTCCTAACTGACTCACCATTGTTTAGTGAGTCAAATTCAACCAACCACCTTTTTTACTTAATTCATCACAAAAATTCCTGTCTTTCTTACCATGGGCTTCAATTCTCATTTAAATGACTGTTCATCTAACATTTGCAGTTGAACATAGTAGTAGCAACTCTATTTATTTATTTAAGACATGGTCTCCCTTTGTTGCTCAGGCTGGAGAGCAGTGGCACCATCTCAGTTCACTGCAGCCTTGACCTCACAGGCTCAAGCGATGATCCTTTCATCTCAGCCTCCTGAGTAGTTGAGACTACAGGCATGAGCCACCACGCCCAGCTTGGTAGCAACTTTTATACAAGGTCACAGCACCGAAAAGCAAAGATAACTGAGTATAAAGTACTTCCTGATCCAGTACTAATGAAGATGGGTGGGGGCAGAGGGTGGTGGCACTGCCTGGATTAAGTTTGTTTTAAAGTTCTCTCACATGATACTATATCCTCTTAGCCAAAAATTGTAAATTTCCTTTTTATTTTTATTTTTGTAGAGATGGGGGGTCTCTCTATTTTGCCCAGGCTAGTTTCAAACTCCGGGGCTCCAGGTATCCTCCTGCCTTGGCCTCCCAAAATGCTGGGATTACAGATGTGAGCCACCATGACTGGCCTGTAAATTTCTTCATATGGCCAGAGAAAGAAATATCAACTGGGAATATTTTAACCAGCTTCACATACTTTAAGCACTATATGGTCTTTGTTAATATCATTTTCCTCTTCTATATTGATGATGTTTGAAAACAAAGTGAACAGGCAATTAATCAAACAAAAAGACCTACAATGCCTTTCAGGGTCCACTGTGCTATCAAGTAAATAAATATTTTTGGAATAGCAGATTATTACACTGTAATGAGTTTAGCCTGAGAATACCATAGCCATTTAGAGTAGTTGGGGCTACAGGTATGAGCTGCTGCGCCCATCTTAGTAGCAACTTTTATAGAAGGTCACAGATAACGCCAAAACGCTAGCATCTGCTAGTGTGCACTGTATGCATGAGAGTCAGAGAAATTATTCCAGAAGAAAGACGAAAGGGGTGAAAGCTCTATTTAACTGCTCCCATTGCTTGATCCAGACACTTCTGACAGTCTGTTTTTACAGACATGGCAAAACAACACTTGGAAGTCATTTGAGAAAATATTCCTGGTATCACAGAGGTAGGCAAAAGGACAATTGATATCTGTTGAATATTTATGTTCATATTGATTAACTCTTTGAGGTTGCAGAAAGAATGAGTCTTCCTCCTCACTAGGCAAAGAGAAGACTGTTACAGAAGAGAGCATCTGACATGCAAAGCATAACACCGATAAGCGTGGCCAGGCCCAAGAGCAAGACTCAAACTTATTCTTTTTCTTAAAGAATCTAACCGCAGCCATGTTTTTCATTGTTATTTTAAGTGTGGGAGGGAACCCCTGCCTTGTTCTTTTTGAAAATCCTGATGCTTTGATAAAATAGTTTCTAAAATATTTCCTATCTACCTGCCCTGCTCTGTTCTGGCTATAATTACTAGGCTAGCCAAAAATAAACTCTCCCAAGTGTTACATCTAGTTGATTGTTGATTTCCTAGAGGGGGAAAAAATAAACTGTAGTAATTAATCATGGAAGCTTCTCTTTAAAAGAATGTTTACGTCATGGCTCAAGGCTCAAACTAGACCGGGTTTCTTATACTGCATATATTTTTGTTTTGTTCATTTTCTTCCTCTTTCCTCCCACCAAAAAACAAACAAACAAACAAACAAAGCAAAAAAAAACTGGAATCTGGTTTAAAGGGTCAAATGAGAGTTTTAGGTAGAAATACAAACTCTTGTTTCTTAATTCCACATTATATGTGGTTACTGTTTTGAGCTGGTGAAATTTGTTGAACACTTAGAATAGTCATCCAAGAACCAGGGGGGACAGAATTTTAAACCAAATAGTCAGTGATTTAGATATAGTTTTAAATTTTTAAAGCTTATTTGACTTTACAGTTCCATTGAATGTAGGATGCTCCATTCTTTTGAAGACATAGGACAATTTGTTTGTTTCTGGACCAGACAAATTTGGATTTCCTAGACCACCGAATAATAATAATAATAATTGCTAACATGTACTTAACTTGCACAAGGTGCAGTAACATGAATATCATGTGGATTGTCTTATGCAGCTCTCCAAATAATGCTGTAAGGTAGCATTGTGGAAACTGAAACCCCTAAAAGTTAACTTGGTGGTAGCTTGTAATTGAGAAATAGAATGTAAACCAAGGTGGTTATACTTAATGCCCTGTGCTCTTAAAACAGTATCATGCTGCCTCCTTGGAGGAATCCTTAATTCAAGTAGGAAGATTTTTCCTTATTACATCTTTGCGACTAAGTTACTGTTTTTATGACTTTAGGCAAATCAATTGAACTGAGCAAGGAAGGTCTTGATTCAATGATTTCTCAAGTCCTTTTTCCTTTTTTTTTTTTTTGTCAAGGGAGTGTCCTCTAGCTGAGTGAAGTCATTTTTCCTTGAATGACTGACAGAATGGCTTTGGTTCACCTGTAATTCACAGTTTAGCTGATCCAGTGTACTGTAAAGTCTGTTTCACTCCACCAGCCAACAAGGAGCAGGCGGCCGTGGTTTTCTCATGTTCTGGGGGAAGCTGTTTGTCAGTGTTAACCTGGCTAACTTTGGACAGCTGCAACAACAACATCTATCCCTTGGCATATGGTGTGTTTAGATGCTAAACACTGCCTCATCTGTGAGTACTTCAGTTTTTGTTTTTCACACGAGCCGGGTGAATATAAAAATAGAGGTAAATAAAAAGAAATAACTGAATCAGCAACCTGGAATTTTCTCTCCTCTGATTAAAGACTGTTGTTAACTGAAAATGCTCCACTAGTTGTTTGAGGGTTTAAGACAGAAAAAGTGGGATGGAGGTGTTTGATAATTTGGTTGCTATGCAACCACTTTACAATTATGTAAGCTCCTACCATATGAGGTGATACAGAAAGGGTGGTAGAGTATGCTGACGCAGTGAGCACACAGAAGACTTTTTTCATGTGACAGAGCCAGAGTCTGAGATCTGCAGTTGCAGAATATTTAGGTAAGAAGTAAATGTCACAAATTATAAAGGCCTTTATTTATAGCAAGAATATGGGATTTCTATTACAGAGTTGGATGAGCAAAAGCTCACCAGAAACAGTATTAGTTTCAAGGAAGGAAGACACACACATCTGTCCTTTGAATCAGGACTTACTCTAACCAAAATTCAGGAAAGATTTTTTAAAAAAGGAAACTAAGAATATGGTATACTTTATTATTATTTAATTAGCCTTGCCCAGTTGAATCTTTTTCAGTAATATTGTAAGGTAGGTGGTACTATTATCCTTATATAAATGCAAAAACGTAGGCTTAAGCGACATTCAGTAATTTGCTCAACATCATATAGTTGGGAGTAAATCTGGGCTGTGAACACAAAACTTTTAGTTCAAGTCCAGTATTGTTCTCATTACATTATGCTTCACAGATGATCATGTACCCTCAGTGTTTCTTTCATATTATACGTTCTATCTTTTATGAAATCCACTGATCTGTTGAAAATCTTATTTTTATTTGTTTTTGCTAGATATCAAGGGTTTATCTCTGACCCTTCCTGGTGGGTTTACTGAATTTCAGAAAAGGCTACCTAATTGATTTTATTGCATATGTTGTAATTTATTGCGTATGTCATTTACTCAAATATGCAATTTATTGCATATATCATTTTAACGTTAACTGAAAGAGAGAAAGTGTGCATAGTCTAAGAAACAAGACAATTGCAAGTTATTCAAAGTGGTCTTTACAATTTAGCCAGCCAAAATCTCTGACTCATGGATCTAATGCCAAGATGACAGCCTCACTGAGGAAGTTTCTTGGTGCGTCTGTTTACAGCTTGGCCAAAGGGCAAGTGGACACTTCTTTTCGAAGGGGTGGTATTATGCTCTCTGGATTTAGAAAAGATTAGTTAACATCATAAAGCTAGAGTTAGATCAGCATGATGTTATGTAAAACATAGTGTTCCCTAATCTTGAGTCACAATAAAGATTAGGTTTGTGTGTTAGGATGATGGTTTATCACATTGTGTAATGTCTGTATGGCTTTCACATATCCCGTATCCATTCATTCTCATTATGATCAATGAAGTAAACAGGGCATATTTATTCACTTCATTTTTGCAGATAATTGAAGTAATTAAAGGAAAGGAAGCTTAGGGACATTAAATGACTTACCTGAGGTCCCATCTGGGCAAGATGGCAAGCCAGGCATCAGCTTTATCCTCTAAATAAAGTTCCAGTCTTTTTTCTTGTCCCTTTGCTGTTAGAATCACTGGTGGCCTTACCACTAACCTTCCTTCTCCTCACTCCTTATCTTCAACTTACTTCTTGCGGGTACTCTTTGTACTTTTGTCATGGGGAACCAGGGCCACTGAAACTAAATTTGTAATTACATGAAGTTAGATTAGGTTGGTTAGATCTTAAAATTGAACTATATGCAAATAAACATGGGGTTCTGTGTCAATTTCAAACACTTGAATGTGGCTTTCAGAAAAATCTTGGATGAGAACTCTAATGTAGAACTCAAAGGAATTACAATGTAATTATTTCATAATTGTCCAGCTGAATTCAACAAACCACATACTAGTGCTAATTTATGCATAAATCACAGTATTAGATACTGTGGGAGACAAAATAAATAAATAACATATTGTCTCTGCTCCTTGGTGGCTTATTAATCATGGGAAAAAGAAGCACATTCTTTACTTTCTATTCTTTGTTCCCTCCCTTGTTGCATTAAGGATTCAAGAAACTCACCATAATAAGCTTTAGTAAAACAAGGTCCCAGGTGCTCTGGCCTTCTTACGTTTTACCTCCCCCTCTTCTTTTAAATAACC
This sequence comes from Homo sapiens, assembly GCF_000001405.40. Classification (NCBI taxonomy): domain Eukaryota; kingdom Metazoa; phylum Chordata; class Mammalia; order Primates; family Hominidae; genus Homo; species Homo sapiens. The sequence continues at coordinate 40,158,516 of NC_000012.12, forward strand.
AAATACAGTATTTTGTGTCACCAAGCTACATTTGGCTATAGGAAATTTAGCTTTCTCCTCACCCCTAATATTTCTGAGAATTCTCAGGAAATATTTAAATGTCATGATGAGCACCTCTCAGTTCCACTTCTTACTCAAGAAGTTCCTCTTCTTGCTCAATATTCTTTTCATAATCACTTCAGACTCTCTCTCTTCATTGCTTTCTGTACAGGATGTTCCAAAGCTCTTTAATTCACTTTATTATAAAACAGTGCCAACACAGTCCTGATGTATCTGCTGAATCAGCTCTATATTGCCACAATAATGACATGTAGCCAGCAACCACAAAACCTTAGTGGCACACAACAATATATGCTTTTTCCTTGTGTGTCTTGGGTGGTCAGCTTTGTGGCTTTGCTGATCTCTTTTGGGCTTGCTGTCATGTCTAGGAGTCAACTGGCTGTCATCTGATTTAGTAATAGCATTGTGGCAACTAGGGAGGCTCAGCTGTGCTTTCCATGTCTCTTGTTTTCTAGCAGGCTAGCTGGTGCATGTTCTCATGGCAGAGGAAGAGGGCAAGCACAGGCATGCACACTCGCATGAGTGCTTTTCAAGATCTGCTGTATCCCATCACCTAGTCTCCCATTGCCAGAATGCTGGCAGACCCCAGCATCAGAATAAAAGGACACTTCAAATTCACATGGAAAAGGCTATGGAGTGAAAGATAAATTTAGGAAGATAACAAGTATCTAAAGATATTGAGGGGACCGTGTTCCTGCCATTTTGAAAAATCTACCACATACTGAGAAAAAGTGAGAATTACTTTAGGAAGGCAGTTACCACCTAAATAACTAGAGTTTATAGTTTCCAAAAAGCAATTGTTCACTGGTGATCTGAAATGTAATACAGATGAGATAAAATGTTTTTTTTCCATTTTGGAAAATGCCTAAAGGACTTTTTTGGACTTAAAACGTAACTCTAATACAATATGTTTATTTCCAATGTCTAAAATATCAGAAGAGATGACTTTTTTTCCCTTCTTTTACTTTCTTTTCCTTTGTTTTTGTTATTGTTGTTTTCTAAAATGTCAGCTGAGAATTTGATATGAGAATGAATATTAATTATGTTCCATTAAGTTTACTAAACTTTTTGACAGAATGTTGAAATTGCAGATTGGATATATGTAGGAAAATACATGTAATTTGTGGTTCCAAATATCCAGTTATATTTAGGAAATGTCCACAGAAAACAAAATTAAAGTACATTTAGGGAAAAATATTTAAAAATTTTCTAAAACACTATTTTCCTCTTTAGTAAAAAAGATATATGTCCCTTTTCTTGTCACTAGAAAAAAAGGTTTCTATCATTACTTGTACCTAAAAAAATACATCAGTTCCAGCATCTCCTTTTATTCTTTTTTTTTTGCTTTAAAAATCTGTTGCTCAATAAAATAGATATACTAGTCATGGCATTTATATAAATAATAGAATCAGAATATTTTCTACCCTTAATTTTATTGAAGTGAATTTTGATTTGAAAAAATAATTTAAAGATCAGAGCATAAAACCAAACCCAATCTAATTTATTTATTCCTTTTAATAGGTTTTGGAAGTTTTGTAATGTTAAAAAAAATCAGGAGTGGGACAAGAAAATAATTTACTCTAACAGGAGAGATCAAGTTATAGCAATGGTGTCCCAGGTTGCCCTGTAGTTATTAACGTATCCTGAGCATCATTAGAGTCTATTTAATTTTGAAAACGCTTTAGATTTTTGTTGTAAAATATGAAATAAGGCAGTGGACATCTTTATGTACCAAGTGATAGGCACTACTAGTGACTTCTATTTTTTAGACTTTTTAAAATAGATCCATTTTACCTTTACTGTAGAAAATTTAGAAAAAAAAAAAAACAGGAAGAAAGAAGAAAATGAACAATCTCCTGGGCTGGTTGCAGTGGCCCATGCATGTAATCCCAGCACTTTGGGAGGCCAAGGCAGGAGGATCTCTGGAGGCCAGGAGTACAAGACCAGCCTGGGAGACAGAGTATGACACCTGTGTCTTCTAAATAAATAAATAATCTCCCAGAATTCCACATCAGGGAGCAGGAACATATCCTTCCAATTGTTTCTATGTATTGTGAACCCCCAAAATTTGAGACAGGTCTGTTAATTTAGAAAGTTTATTTTGCCAAGGTTGAGGACACACCCATGACAGAGTCCCAGGAGGTCTGGACAACATGTGCCCAAGGTGGTCAGAACGCATAGCTTGGTTTTATACATTTTAGAAAGACATGAGATGTCAATCAACATATGTAAAATGAACATTGGTTTGGTCTAGACAGGTGAGACAACTTGAAGCAAATGCGGGCCAACTCAAAGAGGGGAGGGGGCTTCCAGGTCACAAGTAGGTCAGAGAAAAACAGTTGCATTCTTTTGAGTTTCTGATTAGCCTTTCCAAAGGAGACAATCAGATATGCATTTATCTCAGTAAGCAGAAGGATGACTTTGAATAGAACGGGAAGCAGGTTTGCCCTAAGCAGTTCCCAGCTTGAATTTTCCCTTTAGCTTAGTGATTTGGGGGGCCCAAGATATTTTCCTCTCACATTTCTCCCCTTTTCTTTATTAAAATCTTTTGGAGAAAGCATTTTAGAAGAAAATGAGTCTCTGGTCCCAGGTTTCGTCTGCTCTCTCATGGCTGTGATGGTTTACTCTTAGACAGGTACATACCAAGTTATTAGGAAAGCTCATTTTTGGAAGGTTGTGAAGTCTCATGTCCTGTGAAGAGAAAATAGGGAGAGGAAGGGAGAAAAACAGCAGCAAACAAAAGGACAATCCTAGAAAATTGATATAGGCCACATTACTCTGAAGCCTTCAGTAGGCAGGTATGAAAGTAGCTTATGCATGTAAATAGGTTGCTGTTATTTTCTTCTGAAGTTTAAGTTGTCTAGCTTCAGTTCATAGGGCTTTACAAAAGCAGTTTAGTTTTCAGTGACTCCAAATTAGGAATAATGGGGAAAAAGAGCAGAAAAAAATTGAAAACATTATTTTGAAGACTTGTAGTTAAGAAAAATTAGAATTAGGTTTAAACTAGAAAAAAATAAAAATTGAAAAATGTTAGGCAAGACTAGAATCTAAAAACAGGTATACTATAGTTTTTGAAACATAGTTTTTCTCTCTCCAGTTTCCCATTTTTACTAAAGGCAAATCCTGGCAGAACTGATTTGTTTTATTACACTTGGCCTGATTATTTGTATACAGTGCAGCAAGAATAATTATTTTTTTTGCATAGGTTTTTAAATTGGCTTTGATGGAACTCTATTCCATAGAAGGAATCTCAGATAAGACTTTTTTTTAAAGCCAAGCCCAGCCATGGATTTGTGTCATTAAATACCTACAAGTTGGGTGATCTTCTCCTCTTGACTTTCCAAGATAAACCTAGGGCTCCTGAACCTGTCAGAAAGTGACATTCTTTACCTACCGCAGATCAGGAGCTATGTAGACCAAGGTATGAGGCCAGTTTTTCCAAGGGACTTTTATTGTCTCCATAAGTCAAGCTTGATTCCTTAAAGGAAAGCACATCATTCCAGTCAAAGCCTTGGTAAAACAACCAGTTTCTCCAACTGTGTCCTGTTACAAATAAAAACAGATTTTTTTTTTTAAGAGATGAGATCTCATTATGTTTCTCAGGCTGGTCTCAAACTCCTGAGCTCAAATGACCCTCCCACTTCAGCCTTCCAAAGGGCCAGGATTACAAGTGTAAGCCTCCACACCCAACCAACAGATTTTTATCGCACTTATGCAGATAACTGTATTGTCATAAGAATACTCACAAATAGTTTACAAATTCTGGAGAAATCAGTAGAGAGAAATAAATATGCTCCAAATTTTGTTTGTAGGAACATACTTAATTGTTAAAAGCTGTAAATAGCTTAAAAGTTTTCTTGACTCTGAGAAAAAAAAAACAAAGAATCAGCAATGTTTTATCCAAAAAGTTAAAAAGATTACTTTGTCTTCTACTAGTTCAGTTCATGCATTTTATTCCTGTTCTCCTTGATATTCATGAACATTTCAGCTCTCCATGAGAGTCTTGAAAGTTTCTTCCTCTATTGTAATGTCACAATCTCCAAAGTTATCAGAAATCTGCTTTTAAGGACACCTGTTAGAGTTCTATAAATGATTATAAAACCACCTTCTAAGGAGGACCAAAACAAGACAACAATTGTCCATGGATGACAAAATGTTTTAGGGCAACCATAGTCAAAGACACAATTTACAAGCAAATTTGTTACTTCTGTGGCACACAACAATTTAACATAACAATTATAATTATTACTGATAATGTACACTAAGTCATATCAGAATTATAGGAGTTTCCCATGATTTTGGAAGACATAGCAATGATGTATTCATACAAATACAGCCTAAAGAAAAATAAACACCATTTCATATTTGACAATGTTTCCTGTATAATTTTTATACCAAGTAAGCCAAATTATGTCATTTTTGGATGTTAAGGAATCCAATATTTTGAAGGATTAGTTAGATCAGAAAAAGGCATAATTTATCATTTGATTTTGGAAAGCTTGTCAAATATCAAAGGTGTAAAACACTTGATATCACAGGTCATTGTAAAATAAGTCATTTGTTTGACAAAAGTGATACCTCAAGCATTTCAAAAAAAAAAACCAGCAAAAACCTTCATTCTTTTGGAGAGGAGACTCAATTTTCCAAATAATAAGTCCTAATAAAAACAGTATCAAGCTGATTAAATTTGTTTTTCAAAATTTTATAAACAATCATCTATAAAATTTTAATCTTGACCATGAGATATAACTTCCATATACCTTTCTTAACCTTTATAACCTTTATGTAGGAGTTGACTAATGCTTCAGGAAAACCTTGTTAATCTGAAACAGGCCCATGTGCTGGCCTTGCATCAGTGTGCCTTAGATATTAATGATTAATTTATAGAGAAAGTGAACTTATGTTAGCTCTCAAAATTGGCCCTTACAATCTTACATGCCCCCCTCTTCCTCAATGATCCCTGGGCCTTGAGGACTTGAATAGCTTTAATTTCTGGCCCTGTGTTTCAGGAATGCAGTTTATTTTGATTGACATCTTCTAGTGGGCCTGATGATGGGGTTTCGATTGCTGTTAGTGTTTAAAATTTAGCAGGACTTGGTTGCAATGTGCCAAGATCATGCCACTGCACTCCAGCCTGGGAGACAGAGCAAGACTCTGTCTCAAAAAAAAAAAAAAAGTCCAATGAAGGAAAAGAAGAGGTTGCTATGCGAGGAAATATCAGAGGTGACTAATTTAGAGGCCTCTCTAAAACATTGAGTGAAGACTTAAAACGGCCGGGTGCGGTGGCTCATGCCTGTAATCCTAGCACTTTGGGAGGCCAAGGCGGCAGATCACCTGAGATCAGCAGTTCGAGACCAGCCTGGCCAACATAGCAAAACCCTGTCACTATCTAAATACACAAAAATTAGCTGGGCATGCTGGCTTGTGCCTGTAATCCCTTTTCAGACTCAGGAGCCAAAGCCCTGTAATTCAATGCCACAAGTACTTTAAAAGTGCATACAGAGAGATGCTTGAAGGTAATAATCTTAATTTTAAATAATATTTAAATCTCAGGGTTTTTTTCTAAGCAATCCAAAACTTAATAATAATGTGACTATTTGATTATATAAAAGTTTATTTTTTTAAAAAAAATCCTCTTATTTTGACTTACACAGACTGTTCATGACATGCTTGGAGTTTCTGGTTTCTCCTGAACATCCCTCCTTCTTAAATAACCAGTCATGTTACTCTAGGGCTAAATGTACCATACAAGATTCTTTCTTATGCGAAACTGTTTCTCTTTAAGCTTTCTTCCCCCCCAAAACACCTGAAAAACCCTTTTTATTTTTATAACTTTCTTTACATCTCTTCTGTTTCCTGGTTCCTTTTACCTTGTTTTATACATGACCTTTAAATAAGATTTGAATTAGACAAAAATTATTCACCTTTTTAGAAAGGACACACTTTTTTTTTTAGAAAGAATGTTTTCCTACAAATCTATTTTATTGGAAAATACCCAAATAATGAAATATCTATTATTTAATTTAATATAATTTTAGATTCTAAGTTATGGTGAATTTGTCTACAAGTATTTATCCCATTACATTTACCTAATTATTTTATTTTATTTGCTTACCTAGATTATTTATGAAAACTCTGATAGTCATCATTTAAGTTATGGAACTGATATTGCAAAATTATAACTGATAGAGTAAAAAAGATTTGACCTAACTGACTTCATCTTGCTTTTAACCTCCGGACTGTCCATGTTCATTCCTGGGTGTGGGCCAAACTAACTTTGGGAAGAACTTAGTTTATAGTTTAGCTTTGAAACAAAGGCAATAATAAACCTTACTGCCAGTGGAGTAGACTGCCTAAAGCCACAAGATTAGAAGTTATGGTCATCTTACTAAATTCGAGGCATAGCTATTTTCATTAAACTAATATAAATGTCTTATTTATTAAAGATTGCACAAGCAAAGATCATTCTGTCTTCTTCTGGGTTTATAGATTTTTAACCCCTTCACTGAATTTTGCACAGAAAATGGTGATACCTTTTTTCTGCATTCTCAGTTCTCTGTCAATATCAGGAAGTTTTTCTTTAGCTGTACATTTAGTTATTGCTACTGTTCCATCTTTTCTGATCTCTTCTTTGGAAACACAAACATCCGCATGCTCATTGTCATTCATAGCTATCATCTTCTCTTTAATTATTTTATGTTTGTCCATTTCCAGTTTACTCTGCAAGTTTATTCTTCACAGCTTTGTTACACAATACATGGTGCTTAGACCAGTAGTTGTGAGAGCTTGTTAGAAATGCACAATCTTGGGCCCAGAGAGAACTAGTGCATTGGAATCTGTATTTTAATAAGAACCTTGGATGATTTCCATGCACACTAACCTGTGAGGAAACACTGTTCTACAAGACTGATAAAATTTTCTACGGTATAAATTTTGCTGTTTCTGGCTGTTAGTGCAGAATTTAAGTTAATCATTACATTTTGAGTTTCCCTGCAGAAAATTTCTAATCTTAGCATTTTCCTTTCCATTATATTGTATTTACCCTCCTCTTTTCTTCTATTTTATAACTTTTTCATTGCATAGCACTACCTTTTGGTTTCTCTATTATTTTTCTGTGACTTTCTCTTCATAGAAGTCATGACACTTTTGATGATAATACTAACTTATTAAAACTTTCTTTAGGATCTTGTATTATTAGAAATATATTCCTTCTAATCATTTCATTACTTTTAATGGCAAAAACCACAATTACTTTTGCACGAACCTAATAGTTACTACTCTCTCATTAGCAAATATTCCTCCTAGAGGTCCAACATTTTCTGTGTGTGTTACAAATTCCCATACAAAAGATTCAGTCCTAAGTCTCAGTGTTTATTAACAGACTAGAGAATAAATGGCTGAGGTCCTACTCCTGGTAAACTTTTCAAATTTCTAACAGAAATGCAGACTGGTATGCTCAGATCAGCCTCATTTCTAGGTTTTTGCTGATGTTCACCAAATGTTTCTATTGTCTTATGGCATAGTTTTCTTCCCTTAACCCACTGGTTCTCTGATACTTTAAACTAGTGGGACCCAGGAAGAATTTTTATCTCCAGGCTTTTTTCCCCATATGTAACTGTAATTTTTTACTTTTGTTAACAATACTTTATTTTATTTGATTTCACTGTATTTTATTTTTATAGCGAAGGACTCTCGCCATGTTGCCCAGACTCATCTCAAACTACTGGACCCAGACAATCCTCACACTTTGGCCTCCCAAAATGCTGAGATTACAGGTGCGAGCCTGTACCCAGCCCTAACAGTACATTATTTAGGTCAAAGTGCTACTACCAGTTGCCCCTACATATTGGAAGTCTTTGTGAACATGTTGGAAACAAATAAGGGAAAGGTTTGGGTGGCTGTTCTCTGCCATGTCATAGAGTAGGACTGCGAAGTTGGTTTGCCTGCTGATTTTATGCACAGAGGGGCAGTTATAAAAGCTATTTTTAGGCTTTTTTAAAAAAAGTTTTTCATCTCTTTCAACAAAATGAAGCATATATGTGTGGAAAAGCTTGAATTATTTTCTCCTAATCATTTGCTAGCATCCTTATACTGGCAGAATTTACTTCCAGATTAGGGCACAAAGTAGTCCAAGAGTCTTAGGTTTCAATGTTGTCAGTTTTCCTATGCTTTTCTGTGTTTCATTGGCAGTTTAAAGGGAAATAAGAATAAGGCTTCCTTGGAGTAATTAATTAATTCTTCTTAATTCCAATCCATTTTACTTTATTTCATAAATTTCATCCAAGGAAAATGTCCAGCTTTTCTTTGCAAAATTAAAAATTGTCTGCCAATTAGCTTAAGATACTTGCTTTAAAATCCTTGACGTCTATCCATTTTATTCCAAAACAAATTGCCATTTTTACTGTGCATCATAGTTTTACTTCCAAATTGAAAATTTTACTTTATATTAATCTCCCCTACATCACCTATAAAATTCAAGCTAAATTGATTAAATTTTATATCAATAAAGGCAAACAAGCAAACATTAATATTGAGATATAATTTGAAGTATTAGAATCTTCTCATTCATTAAAAAATACACAATTGTCTTTTTTAAATAAATATGCATTTATATTTATATTAATTTACTTTAGGACAACAATTTAACACATTAATTGTCTCTTTCAATACAGCTTACCTAAAGTTAACATCTGATGACATGATCGCAACTCCATATCCTGAGTTGATTTCAACCTATGATGTTGGAATTTTCCACATGGAGATAAACACTGGGAAGCAGCTAATCATTCTCTCTGGATTTATAAGGAACAAATGGATAAGTGAAACTTGAAAACAATGGCCAAAGTACTAAGAACTAATGTTTCTTCAACAAAACAAATACTTTTACTTTAAGAACAGAAGATAAAAGGCCAAAGTTGTAATATAAGACAAATTACGGAAATATACACTTATACATATAAAACCACTCCTCTTTTTAAAAAATCATGCTTTTTAAGAAGAATCTTCTCATATCAGTGAGAAAGAAAGTTATCTTAACAAACAAAAAGTATTTTGAAAAAAAGCGTTCACATGTATAAGAAAGAAAATGAACAAATAAATAGGAAAAAAGATCTCTGGTTCAACCATATCAAAGCTTCTTCATGTTTGTTATTTTACTCTAAAGGACACCTCCCTGATCTTGAACTGATAATACAGTTAAAAGAATTAACAGAAAGAGAGAGGGATAGAAATGGTCACGTACAGAATGAAAAATAAAGGAAATTTTTTTCTTATTATTTTCCTAATTTGTCTTAATTCAAATGAGCAGAATAGAGTGCTCCAAATCAGAACTGTGACTCACTAGAACTAATATATTTTGTCAACATATTTATAATTGAACATATCAGTAATCTTTCATTTGAACAATTAATTGTGTCAGTAATCATTTATCTGCATAATAGTTATAATTAATTTGTTACATTTATTTAATTATTCATAATTTATTACAAAATGCAACATCAAGAATCATCTAATAACAAAACTTATTTGACAGTGTTTGATAAATATGTTTATGAATGTCCCACTGAGATATGTTAAAAACCACATTGATAGCAAAATTACTTTAAAATACATGCTTTATCATTATGGCAATAGATGCTGTTTATGACTCATCTTGTTTCTATTCTGTACGACAAACTCTCAGATCTTCTTTTTTCAAACTTCGATTTGATCTCTGAGTTTCTGACTTTCCCCTCTCTCTTTCTTACTTATTTTTGAAAAAGGACATTTTGACACTACCAATAATGATAAAAAAAAGAGAGACGAAAAAGTGAGATTAGCAGGTAATTTTTAAAGTTAAAGAATAGTTATATTTAGGCAGGGCACAGTGCCTCACGCCTGTAATCCCAGCACTTTGGGAGGCCAAGGTGGGCAGATCACATGAGGTCAGGAGTTTGAGACCAGCATGGCCAACATGGTGAACCATGTTTCTACTAAAAATACAAAAATTAGCCTGCTGTGGTGGCACATGTCTGTAGTCCCAGCTACTGATGAGGCTAAGGAGGGAGAATCACTTCAACCCAGGGAGCAGAGCTTGCAGTGAGCTGAGATCGTGCCACTGCACTCCAGCCTTGGCGACTGAATGAGTCTCTGCCTCAAAAGAAAAAAAAACAGTGATATTTATTCATTATTGCCACAATAGGATAAAATGATTTAAGTCCATATAAATCTAAGTAAACCTGCAATTGTTTATATCCTAAAAGGACACACAAGGAAGTACGTTTGAAATTAATCATGTGGCTTTCTTCCCACCCCAAATACTCCCCCACTCTCCAGATTCTTTAGAGTTCACTTTTCAAAAGGATTGAAAAAACATATATTTCAAAGTTTTTTTTTTTAATTTAAGGAATTGAAAGAGCAGAAAATATATACTAATCATTCTTCTTAAGCCCTGTGCTCTGTTTCATTTTCCAAAGGCGTCTACTCTCAGTGGTTTGTTTTTGCTCTTTTTGTGGTTATGGTTATAACTAAATATGGTAATCATTTACCTCGCTTTGTTGCTGCATTTACCTGCTATGAAGTATGAGGAATTTAGTTTACTTGCACTTCTACTTTCAAAATTATTGTTTATAGCCTCAATATTAGTTCTCCTTGAATGATGCATTTGAACTCCCTATTTGTATTGAAATAGCTACTATCTTCTACTCTGAAAGATGAATAAATTAATGCACTTACTTTGGACTTCTTTCCATCTCTGTTCTTGATTGTCTTTTAGTTATATAATTGTTTTACACTGTCAAGAATTATAATTCTTATATTTTTGCTGAAACTATTTTTCATATCTCAAATTATAAGTATTGAGTATTTGACTTCAATTTGTATAATCAACTTATGTACAAAGCATGGAAGGATTAATCCACTGTAGAATTCATGGTGTCATGTGATTGATGTCAAAGAAAAGAGAAAATATGATACCATGTCATTTAAACTTTACCACTTGAAGAAAAATTTCACAAGTGCCTGAATATAATAAATTTTATTTTAATATTTTTCTAGCTTTCTTTACTTCTTTTGAGTCATACTCAGGTGCTGGCATTTTGGGGACAACACTTTGGTTTGTTTGGGGTTATATATTTTATTTTTCTGTAGTCTAGCCTAGTCTACTTTTATTTATGGTATATGGGTAGTTTGCTCTCTAAGTTCTTGCATGCTAACAGATCTTTGATTTTTGCTCATATCTGATTAATTATTTGGATGAATAGAGAATTCTAGGTATAAATGGTTTTCTGGAGTCTGTCTTACAGTATACTTATGAGAAATCTGGCCTCTCAGTTATTTTATTTCTCCTTCAATGATCTTGTCCTCCACCTCATGCCAACTTCCCACTTCTATGGTCTTAGACATTGCCATGACCAACCGTCCCATAATCATATTCTCAGATATTCCATTCTCTCCATTTAGCTATCTATAATTATCATATATAGATATAAATTATCATATATCTCCACAACTTTCTAGGGCACACATTATAATATTTTCATAAAATGCCTTATTTTCTTTTATGAATATGATGGGAAATGCTAGATCAAGGAATAATGAACAAAACAAAGGAATATAGATGTTTCATGTATTTATTCAACATTTATTGAGTGCTGACCAAGTAACAGACACAATGCAGACTCTGAGCCTGTAGAGGTAAATGATCAACAACAGCAATAACAAATCTCAGGTCTCAAATCCTAGTAAAGAATTTCACAATCTAGTACGTCAAAACATTAGTATGCTTAACAACTATTGTATTCATGGTGCAAACAGAAATAGGCCTCTACGCTGAAAAATAATAAAAATATGAGAAAGATTTTTCAGGATATATAGCGTTGTTAAGTTTCTTGAAAAAGTTTGGGGAAATATTTTGAGAATAAGATAAATTACCTATTACTAGAATTTTAGGTTTATGTTAAATTTTCTTTACAATAAGTAAGGGATAAAGTAAGTAATACTTTAGTGGTTTAACAATATGTCCACATATTTTTGGCATCCTTCCCTTTAATAATTGGAGCCTAATTTCCCTTCTCTTGAAAATAATCTAGAATTAGTGACTAGCTTCTAACAAGAATGTGGCAGAAGTGACAGCATCCGACTTCTGAGACTAGGTCATAGATGACATTGCTGATGCCACGCTCCTCTCTCTTGTATTGTTTGCCCTGGGGAGAGTCAGCCATCTGCTATGTCATGAGGACACTCAAGCAGCCCGTGGAGAGGCTCACATGGGGATAAAGGGAGGCCTCCTGCCAAAATCCAGCCACAACGTGGCAATCATGCGAGTGAGCCACCTCTGAAGTGGAACCTCCAGCCCAGTCAAGCCTTCAGATGACTGGCACTCACTTTCCTGACTGCAACCTCATGACAGACCCAAAGCCAGAATTGTCCAACTAATGTGTTCCCAAATGTTTTGACCCACAGAAACTGTGAGAACAATCAATTTCTATTGTTTTAAAGTCGCCTAAGTTTTGGGGTAATTTGTTATACTGTGATGAACAGCTACATACAAATTTAAGTTTATTAAATTAGAAGTTGAAGGAGAGAAATGAAAGTCAAATTCTAGTACTCAGTAAATTCTAAAAGCTTATGATACCAGTTAGTTTTTACATCATAACATAATCGCTTCTTTTTTTTTTTTCTGAACAAAATTGCTATGGAAAAACCCAACTCAAAGGTTAGTGAAAGAGAAATATAGTTTTCATTTAAAAGGGAAAGTACAACTTTGCTGTAGGTCTTAGATAAAAATAGATTGTATAATCTGAAAACCTCCCCACAACTTTTTTGTGAGTTTATATTATTTTCTCCTTTTAAAAGATGGTTAAACTGCTAACTAAAAGGAATTTCAGAAGAGAACTGCCATAAAAAATTTTAACTTCTTATACAATGGATAGACTTATTTGCTATTTGTACAATATACATACTATGAAATACAATGGTTTGCATGATTTAGAATTGTGTAAGTTTTTTTGAAAATAACTGTGGAGGTATAAGTGGAAGCTTGACTCCAAAATCAGACTTTTCCTAACTCATCCTCTTTCAACTGAGAAAACTGCCTATCGGAACTGGGTGCATAGGGAAATATCAGACAGAATATGGACAACTGCCAGGACTTGTGGTTTTTTTTTAAAGGACTTGGGCAATGACCATGGTTGGTGTCATAATAAAGCACATAGATTTTTCTTTTAAAAAACATTTGTAAAAGGGAATGGATTAAAGAAGTTCTTTGATCTCAGAAATGGCATATATCTATGTAGGTTGTTTTTTGTTATATTTTCAATTGACTACCTTTCATACTTGGGATTCCCTCAAAGAAATAAAGTTCTCTGAAAAAGCTTTTGATACTTTATTAAAAAATCCATCGTCTGGGCGCGGTAGCTCATGTCTGTAATCCCAGCACTTTGGGAGGCTGAGGCGGGCGGATCACGAGGTCAGGAGATAGAGACCATCCTGGCCAACACGGTGAAACCCCATCTCTACTAAAAATATAAAAAATTAGCCGGGCGTGGTGGCGGGTGCCTGTAGTCCCAGCTATTCGGGAGGCTGAGGCAGGAGAATGGCATGAACCTGAGTGGCGGAGCTTGCAGTGAGCCGAGATGGCGCCACTGCACTCCAGCCTGGGTGACAGAGCGAGACTCCGTCTCAAAAAAAAAAAAAAAAAAAAAAAAAAACAACTCCATCATATGAAGAATATGAAATAAAAAGAATTGGTTGAAGTACCTGCATCTAAAAAAACACAAAACAATGTCGCTTAACAATGGTGAACTTTCGGCTGGGCACGGTGGCTCACGCCTGTAATCTCAGCACTTTGGGAGGGTGAGAAAGGTGGATCACCTGAGGTCAGGATTCAAGACCAGCCTGGCCAAAATGGTGAAACCCTGTCTCTACAAAAATACAAAAATTAGCTGGAGTTGATGCTGGGTGCCAGTAATCCCAGCTACTTTGAAGGCTGAGGCAGGAGAATCACTTGAACCCGGGAGGTGGAGGTTGCAGTGAGCCAAGACTGCGCCACTGCACTCCAGCCTGGGCAACAGAGTGAGACTCCATCTCAAAAAAAAAAAAAAAAAAAAAAAAAAAAAAAATTAGTGAACTTTGTACTTGATCATTATTTCTTTAGATACTTTCTTTAGATACTTTAAATAATGATTTTACATAGATATATATGTATTTGTACATCTCATGGAAAATGTTAAAGGCAAGTCAGATATGAAAGAAAACTAGTTGTTCTAGAAAGAGTGGCAACACTCCAAAGCACAAATGAAAGAAGTCTTGTTGATGGAACTAAAAGAAGCACAGGCAATTAAGAAAAATGTTGAGAACTTAGATGTCAAGCTGGAAAAGAAAAAAAATAAGTTAATGAGATATGCCCATCCAACTGTTTTGAAACATGTTGCTCAGAAAAAGAGGTCAAATTTATTTGTCTCTTGATCAAAATTTATGACTGGATCCCCCCCAAATCAAACATGGTTTGTAAAAGCAATGTTGTATAATCGTTAAGACTGTGACCTCTGGAGCCACACTGCCAGGATTCGGACCTCAGCTATTGCTGTTATTGGTTAAGTCTCTGTGCCATTGTTTCCTCATCTATAAAACAGGAATATTAAGAATTGGATCTCCCAAGATTGTTGGAAAGATTAAATGAGATAAAATGTCTAAAAGTCTTAGACTAGTGCCTAAAGCATAAATATGCTATTATATGAATTACAATAATGGTAATATTATTATTAATTTTAACAATACTACTACTGCTAATAATAAAAGAGACAAGATCACAAGAAACAAACTAGAATGACTTCCCTGGAAGAACCCAGGGAAAACCCAAAACCCAAAACCTCCTGAGTTGTCCTCTCACCAGTGCGACACATGAGACTATGTTGGATTAAATCAACTCTTAAAAGATTGAAGGAACTAAGCCATTCCAGGAGAAGGTAGTCCTGGCCATAGGCACCAGGTAGACCCTGATGCTGAGACTGAGGTGAAAACAGAATTAGAAAGGAAACAATACTGAGCTTCAATTTCTTTAAACTTAAATTTAAAATATGGACAGAAACTTTACTTTTGGACTTTAATTTCTTTCTGGGATTTAATAATGGAAGTGAAAGGTTCATTTAAAAACTGGGCTGAGGATGTTATTTCATAACCAATCTCTGGTGAGTGTTTTAAGACTAATGGCTGAGTACATTTTGAAATAGGAAATAGAAAACGATTTTTTGGCGTAGGTTGTACCATGTCTATAGAATTAGATAATTTCTGTCTCTTTCTGACCTATTTCAAAGATCACTGGGTCCAGTGCTAAACTCCCCAGTTCACTGAGTAAGGAAGACACAGGGGAACAGACATAAGCAGGCTCATGAAGGTGGGGAAGGCTGGCCCAGATGCTCAGCTGGTCTCCCCAAGAGAAATGCATGCCCAAACATAGGCTTGGCTATTTCACCCAATGGGATATGAAGAAATAAAATATTGGAGAGTGAGAACTTCCCTGTTTTTCTCCTGAATTTTTGCTTCTACTAATAGGTTTAATAAAACTTCTACAAAAATATCTTTCCCCACTTGAGGGAGAGTTGGAAGGGAAGGAACACTTCCATATTTTCTCTCCAATCCATTCCTTTTTCAATCCTGCATTAGATTCTTAGGGCTGCCATAACAAAGTACCACAAACTGGGTGCCTTATTATTTCATAATTATTATTTCATAGTTCTTGAGGCTAGTATTCTGTAATCAAGGTGTTGGTTGGGCCATGCCTTCTTCTGAAGGCTCTAGGAAAGTATCCTTCATTGCCTCTTCCTAGCTTCTGGTGGGTGCTGGCAGTTGGCATTCATTCCTGGCTTTGCAGCTGCATCATACCAATCTCTGCCTCTGTCTTCACATGGTCTTTTGCCCACCTGTGTGTTTCTGTGTCCTAATGTATCTCTTCTTATAAGGACACAAGTCATTGCACCAGGGTACACACTAATCCAGTACGATCTTATCTTACATTGTTTTTTGTTTGTTTGTTTGTTTGTTTTTTGAGATGGAGTCTTGCTCTGTTGCCAGGCTGGAGTGCAGTGGCACGATCTCAGCTCATTGAAACCTCTGCCTCCTGGGTTCAAGTGATCCTCCTGCCTCAGCTTCCTGAGTAGCTGGGACTACAGGTGCATGCCACCACGCCCAGCTGATTTTTTGTATTTTTAGTAGTGATGGGGTTTCACCATGTTGGCCAGGATGGTCTCGATCTCTTGAACTGTGAACCACCCACCTCAGCCTCCCAAAGTGCAGGGATTGCAGGTGTGAGCCACTGTGCTAGGTCAATCTCATCTTACATTGATTACATCTGCAACGACCTTATTTCCAAAGAAGATCACATCCGTAGGTTCTCGGGTTTAGTACTTAAACATTTTTTGGTGGGGCGCAATTCAACCTATAATACTGTCTCATAGAAGAGATGGTAATTCTGGTAACTTAGAACTTGACATTCATTGATACATATTGATTGTTGGGTAGGCTCTTTATGCTTTATGGTTCAAGCTGGAGGATATGCCACACTTAGTTTACTTTTTGCATCCAGGCACAAGTGGCTCCATTGTGTTTGGTGTGGCTGAGTGGTATTTATACCTGGCAGGCCTACCCACATAGAAGAGAGAACCACTGTTCTCTGACTCAGATACAACTTCCTGCAACTGGGTGATCAATTCATATTGGGCCCAGGCTATGGAATCAGCTGCCTTCAGTTCAGAGGAAAGGGACTAGGAAGTCTCACTTCTGCTTCAGATCTAAACTGCGTTCTCCAATGCAGTTTACTAGAAACATCAAATTTGGAGGGGTGAAGCCTGCTGGTCTGGTTTAATCAGGTAGTGCTTCGTTTCCTATTTAGGTTGTACTCCTGCATATGTTCCAGTACTGCATACCTATAACTCACTAAAAGGAAGAACTTATGGAAGAAGTGGCATTTGAGCAGAGATCTGGACACAGTGAATTAGCCAGCCATGGTAAAGTGTTGAGGGAGAAAATTCCAGACAGGAAACAGCAAGTGAAAATGATGAGAGGTGGTAACAGAGAGAATCTACGTAAAGGTCAGAGCTACCTGAGAAGAGTGAACAAAGTGAAGTGGGTTAGAAATGAGGTCATAGAGGGACCCAGGGTATAGAGTATGTAAGGCCTTGTAAGACCTGGCAAAATCTTTGTACTTCATTCTAAGCGTGATGGGAAGCTCTAGACAGATTTTGAGCAAAGGGGTGACATTCCATGATTGAGGTTTGGAAGGGTCATCCTGGTGTGGTGTGGAGGAGAGAACATAGAGACAGACGGAGAGGTAATGGTGAGGAAAAGTCAGATTCAGAAGGCGAAAATGTCAGGCTGCGGCTGTTTGGATGTAGAGTGACAGATGAACACTGTTTGATTCCAAACAGTGGACAGATCATTAAGTAAAAATTCTTGTTAATTATACAGGTTGAATAGCACAAAGTTGTGTCTCCCTGGAGACAACTTCAGAATATGACCTTATTTGGAAATAGGACCTTTGTAGATGCAATCAAGTTACACTGAAGTCATACTCAATTAGGGTGGTCTCTAATTCAATGACTGGTGTACTTGTAAGAAGAGGGAAACGTGAACACACATGCACAGTCGAAAGAACATTGTATATAGATGGAGGCAGGAATTGGAGTGATGCAGCTGCAAGCCAAGAAATGCTAAGTGTTGAAAGAAAAACTTTAGACAAATTAAATGTAATACAGCTTGTTTGGGCAAATAATGATTTGTGAATTGGGCAGCCCTACCCCTTCAATCAGAACAAGCTCAGAGACAATCTAGCACCACACTACCATGTGGTTGGAGAGGATTTATGGAAAGAAAAAGGAAACTGACCTACAGAAATTGGAAGTGAGGTACAGAAACAGCTGGATTGGCTATAGCTTGGCATTTCTCTTATTTAAGCAGGGTTTGAACAGTTGGCTACCAATGATGTGCTAAATCTCTGTGACTGTTGGAAGAGTAAGTTACACTCTGTTTACACGTACAGTTAGCTACTGTTCACTATGTATGGAGAAACCTTTAGGCTGAACTTGACGTCACCTAATCAGTTCTTCCTGCTTGCTACACTGCTATACAGACAAAAATCAATTCACTGAGACCATGGCATTGCAATAAAGACAGAGTTTAATTGACACAAGCCCAGGCATATGGGAGAACTGGAGTTATCATTCAAATCAGTCTAAGAACTCAGAGGCTAGGGTGTTTTGGGTTTTGTTTTGTTTTGTTGTTGTTGTTGTTTTTGAGACGGAGTTTCGCTCTGTCGCCCAGGCTGGAGTGCAGTGGCGCGATCTTGGCTCACCGCAAGCTTCGCCTCCCGGGTTCACGCCATTCTCCTGCCTCAGCCTCCGGAGTAGCTGGGACTACAGGCGCCTGCCACTGCGCCTGGCTAATTTTTTGTATTTTTAGTAGAGACGGGGTTTCACCGTGTTGGCCAGGATGGTCTATTTTCTGACCTCATGATCCGCCCGTCTCGGCCTCCCAAAGTGCTGGGATTACAGGCGTGAGCCACCGCACCTGGCCCATGTCAGACTTCTTTTACTGCCATAATCTTTGCAAAGGTGTTTTCAAACTTAAAATATGTAAAGAGGCAGCTTTAGGCTAAATTTAAGTCAAGGATTGCCAGTAAACACTAGATGCAGAAAGAAGCAAAAGAGGATCTTGTCCTAGTACCTTTAGAGAGAGCATGTCCCGGCAGACACATTGATTAGAGGTTTCTAGCCTCCAGCCTGGCCAGCGTGGCAAAACCCCATCTCTACTAAAAATACAAAAATGAGCCGGGCATGGTGGTGTGCGCCCGTAGTCCCAGCTACTCGGGAGGCTGAGGCAGGATAATTGCTTGAATATGGGAGGTGGAAGTTGCAGTGAGCCGAGATTACCCTACTGCACTCCAGCCTGGGCAACAGAGTGAGACTCTGTCTAAAACAAACAAGCAACAACAACAAACACCTAACATGCTAATTAAGATGAATATTGATATTTTGTTTTAGTTTGCTTTTCTTGAGTGCCATGACTTTAAGTCCTTAAGTCCTCTGAGCAGTAGCTCTTCTTTTTAGTTTTCTGTTCACACCCTTAGCTTTTTCACCATTGTTGTCTTTGTGTTTCCTCATTGATATGTATGAGACCTTTTCTACAAAAGGTTTAACTCAAGGCTTCATTTCCTACAGTGTAGTAAGGTAAACTATGTGTGGAAGTCTTTTGCAAACATTTCAGATTTTGTTTTTTATTTAAGCACAGATTTAAAAAAAAAAAAAAAGATATGGACATGTTTTAAAGGAATTTGAAAGAAAATTTCTCCAAAACTAGAATTGCTCATTTCACTTGCATGGTATTATAATATTGGAATGTATAACTGCAAAAATACTGCTTTCGGTAAAACTAAAAAAAGAAGAGATTCCTGTGGAATATATATCTTTTCATACACTATGCTTGCATATGAATTTTATCTCTTCAAAGAAAAAGCCATGCTTTTCTAGTGCTTCTATTCTATATGTATGGAGGAGGCAGAAGAGGAGACTTCAAAATTAGTGACTTTGCATAAGCACTGAATTTAGACTGAGATAATTTTTGGAATGAACTCTGAATTTAATAAAAATAAATACATAGTTTAAAATGTATAGTACATGGTATGCACTTTGAAGCTATGTACTTTCTTCAAAAAGTTGATGTTTAATGTTTTAAGTATAGAAATCATGTTTATAGTTTTTCTGATTACTTGCATTAAGCTAGAACTGATTCCAACTACTTATTCATACATCAAACTAAACTTTTAAAAACATGTGTTGTAAACATCATTGGGCTTTGTCTATGTGTATACACTGTCTTCCCAAATACAAAACCGAAAGTCATGGGCCATGCTTACCTACTTCATTTGTATAGAAGACTCTCAATTTTTGGATGGATTGTCTTAAAAAGAGTTATTTGTAAATTGTTCAAAAATCTGAGATGAATTAGCCGTGACTTAAAGATAAGGCAAAAATGTCACTGAATGTTCTTTCACTGTTATACTAATCAGCCTGCATGAGAGCATTTAGAGGTTGCAACTTTCGTTGAATTTACTTTTTTTTTTTTTTTGAGTTGGAGAGTTGGAGTCTCATTGTGTTACCCAGGCTGGAGTGCAGTGGTGCGAGCTCAGCTCACTGCAGCTTCCACCTCCTGTGTTCAAGGGATTCTCATGCCCAGCCTCACAAGTAGTTGGGACTACAGGTGCGTGCTGCCAAGCCTGGCTCATTTTTTGTATTTTTTTTTTTGTAGAGATAGGGTTTCACCATGTTGGCCAGGGTAGTCTTGAACACCTGACCTCAAGTGATCCCCCTGCCTCAGCCTTCCAAAGTTCTGGGATCACAGGCATGAGCCACTGTGCCTGGCCAGATTTACTCTTTACTGTTAACAGGCGCTCAGACTGCAAAGTTAGACGTTGCTTTCTCAAAGACTGTTGGGTTGTAAATTATTTTTTTCTCATAGAGAAACAAATATTATCTTTCCAGTAGAAGAGATAAAGCCCAAAAGTTATAGTTTTATTGCCCTGACAGGTATTAATCAGTATTTTAAAAATCTGATTTAGCAACCTTTTTTCAGCATTCTTTCTTCGTTGACTTTTATATACTAGTCTCTCCTTTCTTCTTTTGAACCAACTTTACCATTCTTCTGGTTCCCTCATTAAGCAGGTAAATATCTTTGATGTATGCTCACTAGCATTTGTATGAGGGTCTTGTTTTTAACTTTGGAAATACATACTTTCACAAAATGAGAACCTAGAAATAATAGATACTGTGGTTAAGCCCCAACCATGTCTGCCCCCAAGTGAATTTCCTCCCCAGATGAACCTGATATAACACACAATGACATTTTTAAAAATTAGACAATTACAATGACAGTAATTTAAAAAAATATATTGAGAATTTTATTTTAATCAATTTTTTTTTCTTTTTTTCTTTTTGGGGACAGGGTCTTGCTCTGTCACCAGGCTGGAATGTGGTGGCACGATCATGGCTCACTGCAGCCTTGACTTTGGGCTCAAGTGATCCTCCCACCTCAGCCTCCTAAGTAGCTGGAACTACAGGTGTGTGACACCGTGCTTGGCTTGCTTATTTATTTACTATTTTCTGATAGAGATGGGGTCTCCCTATGTTGCCCAAGCTGATCTCAAACTCCTGGCACCTCCCACCTCCACCTCCCAAAATGCTGGATTACAGGTGTGAACCACTGAAACCACATTTGAAAAATTGTGACTGAGACAGTGAAAGAGATCTATCTTAACTGACTCCAACTTGCTTCTAACCTCCAAGCTGTCCTTGTTCATTCCTGGGTGTACACTGAACTAACTTTAAGAGAAACTTATAGTTTAAAACAAAGAAGGTAACAGCACTTTCCCAAAGCAGACCTTCTTGCCTGGGGATTAGATTGCCTTTGTAGGGCTAACATTAGCCACAAGATTAGAAATTATGGTTTAGGAGTCATGCAGCTGCAGCAAGAATCTGACCCTCCCTAAACTGCTACTAAGATCAATCCTTGAGAAATTTTGCAGTCCCTGCACTTGATGGATCAGCTGGCACTACCCAGACTGATTAACTGGATCATCTGACCTTGTGGGCCCCATTCAGGAACTGACTCAATACAAGAAGACAGCTTCCAATCCCTATTATTTCATCCCTGACCAATCAGCATTCCTGGCTCACTGGCTTTCTCCCACCCACCAAATTGCCCTTAAAAACTCTGCTCCCCTAATGCTCAGAAAGACTGATTTGGGTAATAATAAAACTCTGGCCTCCCACACAGCCAGCTCTGTGTGAATTACTTTTTCTCTATTGCAATTCCCCTGTCTTCATGAATTGGCTCTAAGCAGTGGGCAAGGTGAAGCCCTTGGGTGCTTACACCACCCTGCCCGGATTAATGAACTTTCTGATGACAGGTTTGATTAGAGGATGAGAAGAAAGTGGTGTCAACTGGAACATGCCAAGGTTCACAAATTTGGAAAGGAGAACTTTATTTGTCATAACGGGCTGCAGTCTCTGCAGGGTGGCCATTTTGAAAGGCTGGGAAGAGTAGCCTCTGGCCAGAAGCCAGAAACTGCACTTCACAGGAGGAGCAAAAAGGATAGGAATTTGTGCTGAGCATGGTAGCTGAATAGCCATATTTATGAAACTCTAGGAGGATCCATTAATATTTATGATAGGCAAAACATGAACATGTCCAATTGAGCTTCATCCAGTCATGAGTAGCATGCACAAAAAAATGGCAGCATTAGCATGATCTATGGGTGGAAATTTTGGGCCTCTGATATCAAAAGGTGAAGCACAGAACACAAAGAGTCTCACTGTGCAGCCTCCATAGACTGGCTAGAGCCACCCTGTGGTCAGTGGTCTCCTATCGCTAGTGAAGGCTGGTGGATTGTTTTGTTGAAACCTCAAAAGCGAAAGGCAGCATCAGGTGGTTGGTTGAAAACAGCTATGCAGGACGGGCGCGGTGGCTCAGGCCTGTAATCCCAGCACTTTGGGAGGCCGAGAAGGGTGGATCACGAGGTCAGGAGATTGAGACCATCCTGGCTAACATGGTGAAACCCCGTCTCCATTAAAAATACAAAAAAATTAACCAGGCATGGTGGCGGGCGCCTGTAGTCCCAGCTACTCGGGAGGCTGAGGCAGGAGAACGGCGAGAACCCGGGAGGTGGAGCTTGCAGTGAGCCGAGATCGCACCACTGCACTCCAGCCTGGGTGACAGAGCGAGACTCCATCTCAAAAAAAAACACAAAAAACCAAAGAAAACTGCCATGCAGTGAGTCTTTTGAGAGAACTGGTTTCTGCTTAGCCCTATGGAAGAAAGCCTAACGGCAGCTAGCAAGGAAAGGGAGCTGTTCTACCATCCTTTGCATCATGGCCAAGAATGCACTTTGAAGGTTTCTCCAGTGTACCCTTAGCCAAGAGGGAGTCTGTTCAGTCAGTGGGTGTGTGGTGGGGAAGGAGATTAGGATTTTATTTTTGTTTCTCAGTAGGTAGTGGGAGACATTTACAGTCATCTATTCTGATAAAACATTTTAAACATGCTCAATACTTTTAGACATTTGATCCCATTGGTTCTTTATTGTTCACTCTTATCTCAGAGCTTCCGGTGTTTGTTCTTTGATGTGGGTGTATTTTCACATCAGTTAAAAAAGTTATATTTTTTTCAGTCACAGGCAGGGTTACTGGGTATAAATATTAACTCAGCTTTATGAGGCAGGTACTCTTATTGACACATCTGCTTTACAAATGAGGAAACTGAGGTATGATAAGCTAAGTAACTTACAGCCATCAAACTAGTAATTAAGAAGCAGAAATATCCACTTAGGCAGGTTGAGGCCAGAATCCACCTGCTTATCCTCACACAAGCCGACCTGACTCTCAGTGCTGGCTTTGGAAATGGAACTCAATTATCCCAGGTCGCCAGGAGGGAAAATTGAGGTCCAGGAGGCTTCAAGCAATTTGCTCAAGGTTAACTAGTTCATTAGTAGTGACTGGGATTATTTCGTTTCACAATAAAAAAAAGAGAAGCAAATGAGGAAGGCTAGGATACCAAGAAGGAATGAGATCGTTTTGTGATAATTGAACAAAAGCTGGAAGTGACTAAATTCAAGAGAGAGGAAATTATTAATCAAAGTGAGTTTACATGTTTAAAAGTTGTCTCAGGTAGAATTGACTGAAATGTGCATCAATAAAGGTAGAAGCAACTAGATGCAGTTGCTCACGCCTGTAATCCTAGCACTTTGGGAGGTTGAGGTGGGAGAATCACTTGGGCCTAGAAGTTCAAGACGAGCCTGGGAAACAGGGACACCTTGTTTCTACAAAAAAATAAAAACAATTAGCCAGGTGTGGCGGTGTGCACCTGTAGTCCCAGCTACTTGAGAGGCTGAGCTGGGAGGATTGCTTGAGCTTGGAAGGTCAAGGCTGCAGTGAACAATGATTGCACTAATGCACTCCAGCCTGGAAGACAGAACAAGACCCTGTCTCCAAAATAAAATAAAATAAAATAAAATAAAATAAATAAAAATGAAGGTAGAAGAAAAGGTTGAATACAGAGATAAGGCAGAGGGGAAAAAACAACATTGTGAAAGCGCCTTTTTATAAGGTGTTCTCTGGGGTAAGGGATATTGTGTGGTGGTGCTATTCCAGCACAGCAGTATTGTGTAGAAACCCTACAGAGCAAAGACTAGGGGAAGGTCAGCAGTGCATAAGATGTTCAGAAAGCCAGCCTTCAGGTCTTGAATGCATCTTCACAGTCATCTGTCTTTTCACAATTATATTGCTATAGTAAAGCACATTTTCATGAATGGTATTGCTGATGATAAAACTCTAACTTATATAAAATAGGTCATTTTCAAACTACTTATTGCACAAAACATTTTACTTTATAAGCTTTCAGTAGGCCTTTATTAGAGTCCACGGTCCACCAAGCCCATAATTGCAGATTGGTACCAAGAAAAGTGCAGAGATTTCCAACTCAAGAAAATGAGTTTAGTGCATGACAATTAACAATTTGTTTACATTTATTTTTCCTGGTTGGTGTCTTAAAATAAATGAGTTCACTGAATGTCTTTATTCTTAGGAAAGGCATGCTGAAGTATTTAGGAGTGAGTTGTTATTATAATATTTTCAACTTATTTCCAAAGGTAAATATATATATATGCATGTATGTGTATGTATGTGTGTATGTGTATATATAGAGAGAGTCAGAGAGAGAGAGAGAGAGACTCTAAATGTGGTAAAATATCAATTCCTGAATCTAGGTGAAGGATATACAGATATTCATTGTACTACTTTCAATGTTTTTGTAAGCTTGAATTTTTAATACAAATGGAAAAAGATAAAACAGTGTTATAAACCAAAAATAAATTTCTAAGCCCCACAACCAACTGATGGAACCCCGATGCCATTTGGCCAATTGCATTCCAAAGTAAACCTGAAAATCTAGTTCAGGCCATGATGGGAAGAGGGGAGGATGAGACATGCCTCATTATACCCCCCTCTCTTTGGAATCCAGGCACAACTGACCAGCATTAACATTAAAACAGAGATCGTAAAACTGACAAGGCAGACTTTTTGTAGCAATAAGACATCAAGTATAGCATCACATGACAGATAGCAGGCCCAAAAAGAAATCAAAGTATTTTACCCCGAAATACATTTCTTGGGCATAACTGGAAATGGTTTTGCAGAGCTGTCTCTTGTGAGGAAAGTCTTCATTCTGTAGAGAATCTCCCTTCCTCTCCAGGTCTTTCCTCTCATCCAGGAGAGACTTAACTAAGAGTCTGGCATCTTTTTAGGCCTGATAAGAGCTCTCAAGTCTGCTACATGGAGGCTTCACTGCATGATAAAACCTTGGTTTCCACAACCCCTTATCTTAACCCAGGCATTTATTTCTATTCATTCCAGGCCTTCAGATAATAACTCTTTCAACCAACCCATTGCCAATCAGAAAATCTTTGAATCCACCTATGACCTGGAAGTCCCCCACACCATCTTCCAATTGTCCTGCCTTTCTGGACCAAACCAATGTACATTTTAGATGTCTCTCTAAAATGTATAAAACCAAGCTGTAGCCCAACTACCTTGGGCACATGTTCTCAGGATCTCCTGGGGCTGTGTCATGGGCCACCGGTCACTCACATTTGGCTCAAAATAAATCTCATCCAATATTTTACAGAGTTTGACTCTTTTCATTTACAGTATAATGAGTAGAAAAGATTCTTTCAGATTCTAGATTATGTTTTATATGAAGAATTGTAGTCTTGAGTGCTATTATTTTAAGCCAACGATTATTCCATAATTTTGTCTTATTTTTAAATGTTTTCTCATTTTAAAATTATTTTTTATAATTTTGATAATAGCTATTATTTATTTAATACTTACATATTAGGAGTTTTACATATATTATCACTAATCCTCACAAGAGTTCTGAAAGGTACATATTATTGTCTCAATTTTTCCGATAAGAAAATACATTTATTTGCCCTTGGTCACTTGCAACAATAAACGTTAGTGCCATGATTTGTGCCTAAGTGTGTTGGAATACAAACTCTGAGCTTTTCTCATTACATCACCTGCTCCTCATGCTAAGAAACTTCATTTGAAAGTTGGTGGGTAGGTGGTCCTTTGGAGGAGAGCCCTTTAGGCCAATTAAATTCTATTAAAACTTATTATTTTATGCCAAATGAGCAGGAAAACTAGTTCTGCTGCTTTTAGCTGTATCTCAAAGTCTTAACAACAAAGTTATCCACATCTGAAGACCTCTCCAAAACCTTCTCATGAAGGTTCCTTGCCTTATTTAATTGGATTAATTATCATAAGCAAGAGGCAATATACCAACTGCATGTTTAATAGTACTATTTCAACATATATTGACATTTGGTTGTTTCTTCAAGTTCCTAAAATTTTCTACTTTCAAACATGCATATTGTTATCATTAAGTGGCACTTTCTTCCCATAAGGCAATCATTCATTTAACAAATATTTGTTGAGCACTTAATAAGTGCTTATCACACCATGTTTGCATTTTATGGAAAATTCTGTTGCAATCTTAACTACATTTTGTTCCCGTTAAAGATAGTAACATTACATGATTTTCTTCCCCTTCACGATTTTAAAGTTTTCTGGCATAGGATAGTTATCTGGTGGACTATTTTTTAACATATTTACTCATAAGCTCCAAATTAAACAAGAATGTTTAAGTCCACAGTTCAAGAAAATTCACAAAGTTTTTCAGAGTTATTGATAAAGCCCCAGGATATTTTAAAGTAAAGGATCCTGTAATCCCAACATTTTGGGAGGTCGAGGAGAGTGTATCACTTGAGCCCAGGAATTCAAGACCAGCCTGGGCAACACGGCGAAACCCTGTCTTTACAAAAATTAGCTGGAGCTGGTGGCACTCACCTGTAATACCAGCTACTCGAGAGGCTGAGGTGGAAGGATCACTTGAGCCAGGAGAGGCCAAAGCTGCAGTGGTCTGTGTTTGTGCCACTGCACACCAGCCTGGGTGACAGAATGAGACCCTGTCTCAAAAAATAATAAACAAACAAACAAGCAAATAAGTAAAGGATCTTTTCTACTTTGGGATGATTTCAGTAGGGAGGACAGATGAGAGATGATTCCTTGGAATCACCTCTAACATTGTGTGCTTAGATATATGATGAGTGATAGTAAGTGTAGGCATTCTTGTTTTATTTTTACATTATTGGAAAAAAAGTGTATTTGCTTGAAATTTTGCTCATTAAGCTTGGCTATATGACTGCCATCAAGGTAAAGAAGCTTATCTGGAATGGATAATTTTCTCAAGCTCTGTTTGATGAAGTGAGATGCTGTCAAGATTCTCTTTACCATCAGCCCCAGGGATTTTTGACCTCATTTATCTGCAGATCTTTCTTCCTTTAAATGCAAAGTTAGAGTTCATTATTGAATGTGCCTCAACTTGTGTTTACATTTACTTAAGTTTATTTATTTTTTCTTCTTCAGAGCTTGAATTGTAAACTCTGCTTTAGAAGTAGTACAAATCTTCTTCACTCCCCCCATTTCATCCATCCCAGGAACATTCAAAGAAAATTCTTAGAGGTGAATCTGTAAAGGGGAATTAAAGGCAAGCATTGATTCCAGGAAAGATGGAGCAACAACAGCTTTTGCTTCTGGGGCTACAGTGACTTTGCCAACAGTAAGAAGAGTCTCAGAAATTGAGAAAAAAATAAGAAATAGGTTATTTATCTTGAGGCACATCGTTGACCACATATCCAGGCTCTTCCTTCACTTTTAGTTATGAAGCTTACCCTTTTCAATGACCTAGTGGCCTAAATCTCAAGGCAGCCTTAATTAAGGATACAATTTTCAGCTGAGAAACCAAGTTACAGCAAGATATTAAGTTTTTTTTTTCATAGATGTTAGTGTTTTAAAAAAAATAGTTATGTTGAGAAGGCAAAGGATCACTTATAGGTGATTTTAAGAATCAAAAGGATCCTTTGATATGCTTCTAGATAAAACATGTTGGCAATTTTCTACTTGATAATTGATGTACTATTGAGGTCATCACTAATCATTAAAAATATATGGATGGGTCACTTCTGATCAGATATTGTAGAATCGTTGGTATCTAGGTCGTACAATTTTAGAAAGTTCAGGAAAATGTCCCTGGCTCTCATTATCTCCCACATCTGACAGCAGTGATGTAGACATTTGATTCTTTGATTTGGGACTTTTCCTTTCCGGGAATGATCAGTAGAAATCCAAACACTGTGGATGTGGTAAGGCATATACAGTTACTACTCTTTTCACCTTAGAATAAGTTACTTCATCTGTTATCTGGAGAATGAATGGAACAAGACTGAAAGGGATTATATATTAATCATCACTTATCAGCCAGAGTGCCATATGAGGCCTCTAAATAGAGTTGGGATAGGTGGTTGGATAGAGACATAAAAGCCTAATCTCAGCTTTGCTATTATCAACAGGGCATCCTTGTGAAAGTCACCTCCCTTCCCCGGGTTTCAATTTCCTAATTTAGAAAAGGGTATTAGATTAGAATGATCTCTTGGTTACTGCCCAGTAATGTGAACCCCAAAGATCTGAAACAGGTCTCAGTTAATTTAGGAATTTTATTTTGCCAAGGTTGAGGACACACACCTGTGACACAGCCTCAGGAAGTCCTGACAACATGTGCCCAAGATGGTCAGAGCACAGCTCGGTTTTGTACATTTTAGGGAGACATGAGACATCAATCAACATATGTAAAATGAACATTAATTTGGTCCAGAAAGGTGGGACAACTTGAAGCAAAGGTGGGACAA